>NC_000022.11:14420434-14421632 GCF_000001405.40 Homo sapiens | reverse complement strand
TATGTGTAGTTTTTATGTGAAGACATTTCCTTTTCCACAATAGGCCACAAAGCTTTGCAAACATACACTTGCAGATTCTGCAAAAAGAAAGATTCAAAAATCCTCAATCAAAAGATAGGTTCAACTCTTGTGAGTTGAATGCACACATTGCAAAGAAGTTTCTCAGAATACTTCTATGTAGTTTTCATGGGAAGATATTTCCTTTTCCACAACAGGCCTCAAAGGGCTCCAAATATCCACTTGCAGATTCTACAAAAAGAGTGTTTCAAAACTGCTCCATCAAGAGAAAGTTTTAACTCTGTGAGATGAATGCAAACATCACAAAGATGTTTCTCTGAATGCTTCTGTGTAGTTTTAATCTGAAGATAATTGCTTTTCCACGGTAGGCCTTAAGGCCCTCAAAATATCCAGTTGCAGATTCTGCAAAAAGAGAGATTCAAAACTGCTCATTCTTAAGATAGGTTCAAGTCTGTGAGTTGAATGCATACATCACAAAGAAGTTTATCAGAATGCTTCTGTGTAATTTTTATCTGAAGATATTTCCTTTTCCACCATAGGACACAATGGGCTCCAAATATCCACTTGTACATTCTACAAAAAGAGAGACGCAAAACTGCTCAAAGAGGACATATGTTCAACTCTGTGAGTTGAATGCACACGACACAAAGAAGTTTCTCAGAATGGTTCTGTGTAGTTTTTATGTGAAAATATTTCCCTTTCCACAATATGCCTGAAAGCTCTCCAAACATCCCCTTGCAGATTCTGCAAAAAGAGAAATTCAAAACTGCTAAATCAAAAGATATGTTCAGCCCTGTGAGTTGAATGCACACATCACAAATAAGTTTCTGAGAATGTTTCTTTGTAGTTCTTATTTGAAGATATTTCCTTTTCTACCATAGCCCTCAAAGGGCTCCAATTATTCACTTGCAGATTCTACAAAAAGAGTGTTTCAAAACTGCTCAATCAAAAGAAAGTTTCAACACTGTGAGATGAATGCAAACATCAAAAAGAAGTATCTCAGAATGGTTCTATGTAGTTTTTACGTGAAGATATTTCCTTTTCCACAATAGTCCTCAAAGGGCTCCAATTATCCACTAGCAGATTGTACAAAAAGAGTGTTTCAAAACTGCTCCATCAAAAGAAAGTTTCAACTCTATGACATGAATGCACGCACCACAAAGAACTTTCCCAGAATATT
>NC_000022.11:14419994-14420334 GCF_000001405.40 Homo sapiens | reverse complement strand
TCTGTCTAGTTTTGAAACGAAGATATTTCCTTTTCTGCCTTTGGCCTCAAAGCGCTTGAAATCTCCACTTGCAAATTCCACAAAAAGAGTGTTTCAAATCTGCTCTGTGTAAATGAAAGTTCAACTCTGTGAGTTGAACACACACAACACAAGGAAGTTACTGGGAATTCTTCTGTCTAGCCTTACAGGAAAAAAACCCGTTTCCAACGAAGGCCTCTAAGTGGTCAAAATATCCACGTGCAGACTTTACAAACAGAGTGTTTCCAAACTGCTGAATGAAAAGAAAAGTTAAACTCTGAGAGTTGAACGCACACATCGCAGAGCAGTTTCTGAGAATGAT
>NC_000022.11:14419554-14419894 GCF_000001405.40 Homo sapiens | reverse complement strand
TCTGTCTAGCATAATATGAAGAAATCCCGTTTCCAACGAAGGCCTCAAAGAGGTCTGAATATCCACTTGCAGACTTTACAAACAGAGTGTTTCCTAACTGCTCTATGAGAAGAAAAGTTAAACTCTGTGAGTTGAACGCACACATCACAAAAGATTTTCTGAGAATCATTGTGTCTAGTTTCTATAAGAAGATATTTCCTATTCTACCTTTGACCTCAAAGCGGCTGAAATCTCCACTTGCAAATTCGACAAAAAGAGTGTTTCAAGCCTGCTCTCTGTAAAGGATCCTTCAACTCTGTGAGTTGAATACACACAACACAAGGAAGTTACTGAGAATTAT
>NC_000022.11:13280958-13285143 GCF_000001405.40 Homo sapiens | reverse complement strand
AGGTTATTAAGATGATAACATTAAATAGTGGTTATAAAGTGCTTAGCATTCAATAAATTTATTGTATGATTTCAAAGCACATGTTTTTACCTACAGTGCTATAAAGCTGCTTGCAATAGTCAAAGCTAATAGAAGCTCTCGTCAGAGCTAATAGAAGCCTTGAGTATGTAATTATTTAAGAATTCTGTAAATATACACAATAGGGTAGGAATGAGAAAACCTTTAGAGGAAATATTCAAGTATGTTTGATTTCTAGCAAATCCAGATAGATAGTTTTGGCAACAACCAAGTCATAATTTGAAGTCTTGTTATAGGAGCTAGAATTTTATTCAAGGGACAACTGACTTGATTAGATAAGATGCTGTGCACTGCATGTTTGCATCAACAAATGCACATGTTGAAACTCTAACAATAGAATGGCATTAGAAGGAGGACCTTTGGGAAGTAATTTGGTTTTGATGAGGATGGAGTTCCCACAATGGGGTTAGCATCCTAATAAGAAGAGTAGAAGACTAGAGCCTTCTTCACTCAGCCATGTGAAGATACAACAAGAACACCTGCAAACCAATAAGAGGGCCTTCACAAGACACTGGCTCTGCTGGCCCAGATTTTAATCTTTGAATTCCCACAGCTGTGAGAAACAAGTATGTGCTGTTTAAACCACTCAGTCTACAGTTGTTTGTAGAAGCAGCCTGAGCAGACAAAGACATAGGGTTCCTTTTATTTTCAGAATTCGGTTTAGCTGTAATCACCTACCATCCTGAGATGTTGTTTCCTCCCTCCTCCCTTGAAATATAAGCTCTGGGACTATAGCTTCATGGACAAATTCTGAAGAATTTGTCTCTGCTCTTGTGGGATGCTAACCTAACCAATCAAGGAAATGTTTGCTCAATGGAATGAAACATCTTAATGCAGCTTGCCAGCCAATATCTGCAGAGCACACCTCATGGGTTCTGGCTGGCTTGGATTTCTGAGACTACTTCATCCTACTCATCAGACTGTGGACTCAGATTCAGCCAGGAGGCCCAGATTCTAGCGTCAGTTTTGCCCTTGGGATACAAATGCACGTCCTGCTTCACTCAACATGAAACCCTGACTATTTGGCCATTATTCTGGCAATTGTCCTCTCTCCCTGTGCCAATTGCCAATCAACCCAACTCCCAGGCAGCCTTGGCAGTTATGTTTGCTTGGCCTGCTGTAGCAGCCAATGACTTAGTAAAAGTCAGAACATAGATCTGCTAGCTCCCAGTCCAGGATTTCCTCATAACTCGTCCATGTATATATTAAACAATTAGCCTTGCTTTTAAAATTCTTTTTCATTTAACCTCTTCTTAGAACTTATCATTTTGAGAATCCTGACCTGCCAATATTCCATAATCTTTCTGAAAGTGACACAACTAGTACGATGCATGCACACTGCTAACTGCAGCTGATTTCATTTTCCATCATCTATAAAGCACATAAGGTAATTTCTAAACCAGCAGTAAAACCTATTTATAAAGATGCTGATTTGTTTTCTGCACTTTCCAAAACAGAGCTTCAATTTGTTTCCTTACCATAAAAATCCACTACTTTTTAAAACAATCAAAGTTAGTATATTTTCTAAATGTTTTAATTTTTGTAAAATCCAACTTGCAAATTGGAGTGTAAATAGCTTTCTTAAAATGGAAGGAACTGTGTTAGACCCAGTATGCTGATTGATGACTTCACTGTGCTTCAAAGCAGACGATTTCACAGTCATTGAGTATATAATGCAATGAGTTTTTATAAAGCAATTGATATCACTAAAAATATAATTATAATAAATAAAATTACAGGGAAAAGGAAATCTTCATTCTGACAATGCCAAATTTTTTAACTAACTCATTGCTAAAAGATTATGTTTCTACATGAAAAATTTTACACATTCTTTCTATGAGATAAACCTGATAACATCTTGAAAACTTAATAGTTATGGAAAAGGAACTATTATGATTTTTTTTAGAGAATGTCGTGTTCTTGATGTTCTTGAGTGAGCTGTCTCATGTTATTAGAAGGGAAACAGCAGCACCTTGTGCACAAACAAATAAAGTGAATAAATTTTTAGGACCCGGTGCAGTGGTTCAGGCCTGTAATCCCAGCACTTTGGGAGACCTGGGCAGAGGGTAACTTGAGCCCAAGAGTTCAAGACCACCCTGGGCAACACAGTGACACGCCGATCTTTACCAAAAATTGAAAAATTCTCTGGGCTTCTTGGCTCATACCTCAGGTCCCAGCTACTTGGAAGGCCGAGGTGGGAGGATCACTTAAGCCCAGCAGGTCAAGGCTGCAGTGAGTGTGATCATACCACTGCATTCCAGCCTGGGTGACACAGCAAGACCCTATTTCAAAAAAATTATATTTATGTAGCACTTTCTACAAGGAATACAGTATCATGTTTGTATTTAAATGACATCAGGACCAGCATGGTGGCTTACACCTGTAATCTCAGCTCCTCAGACGGCGGAAGGCAGGAGGATCGCTGGAGGCCAGGAGTTGGAAGACCAGCCTGGGCAGCATAATGAAACCCTCATTTCTACAAAAATAATAATAGTAATCAAAAGCTAGGCGTGCTGGCCCACACCTGCAGACCTAGCTACTGTGGAGGCTGAGTGGAAGGATCACTTTGAGCCCAGGAGTTTGATTGCATTGTGTATTGTGAACTACGCTCGAGCCACTCCACTCCAGACAACACGGCAAGACCCAGTCCCTAAACAAAATAAAGGAACATCAGAGCATTGTTTATAGAGATTTATAAATGATCCCAAAATGTCTTCAGGGAGATAAATCATCTAAATATAGCTATATCGACTCTTCCTAAATTCCAAATTTCGGTGGGAACAATAAATGAGATAGAAGACTTCTTGAAATGTATCAAGACTCAGGAAGACAAAACAGAAACTTTCATTAGGCAGTATCAAGAATGTTCATTAATGCTATTTCTAATTTATGATACGATCATCTAAAGAGGAAATCCCAGCAACAAGAGGGCAAAGGAAAGGGAAAAGAAATGAAAATAACGAGCATACTTTCTACACATCCAACCTCTTCTCTACCACCTCTCAGCAAGTCCTCCCACAGCCAATCACTGCTTTCTCTTGCGGACTTACCGTCTACTCTGTGAACACATGAGCCAGAGAACCCTGAGAAGTCTCTGAGTCTCTTCCAGGGGCTCTGCAAGGTCAAAAGTCTTTTCATAAAAAGACACAGGTTTTGTTTAACTTTTCCACTTTCATTCTATCACAAGTATAATTTGAGTTTCCCAGAGGCTACTTGACATGGGATGTCACAAGAAATTAAACATAGAAGCAGAAAGGAGAACCGAGTTTTCTTCTATTAAATCAGACTTTAAAGACATACCTAAAAATATAAAACAATGTCACTGTTCTCACCAACTTTACTGCTTAAAAATGATAATTTTAAATAAAAATGTGATTTATGTAAACATATATTATTTTATTTGTTTTAATTTCTCAGTTTTAATGTTTAATATGATAAATATAGATAGATATAATCCAAATAAATAAAAGCTCTTTGGGGTCCTCAATAACTTTTAAAAATGTAAAGTGTTCCTGAAACCAAAAAGTTTGAGGACTGATGCGCTAAAGCTCATACCCTTTGATGTAGCTTCCACCCAGGTCATTTCTTAAATACTTGATCAATCATTTCCCATGTCCCTCACCCTATCCTTGTTGCAAAATTCCATTTTCCTACTCCAGCCCTCCCTGTCATGAGAAAGTTCCCAGGTAGTTGACATGATTCACTAAATCTTTCTTAACAGCTTTATGATGATAACATGACATATACAAATTGTATAAATTTAAGGTAACTTAATGTTTTGATATTTCTATACTTTTCGAAATGATCACCACAATCAAGCAAATTAGCATATTATCTCTACATATTTACCATTGTGTGTGTGTTGACAGTAATTAATTTATGATCTAGTCCTTTAGCAGAACACAAGAATATGATACAGTGTTGTTCCGTGTTGTACATTATATCTCCAGAAATTATTATAACTTGAACATTGCACAGTTTAATTAACATCACCCCATTTCCCCTCCCTGAGCCCCTGGCAACCACTGTCCTATTCTCTGTTTTATGAATTTGACTGTTGTAGATTCCTCATGTAAGTGAGATCATGAAGTATTTGTCTCTGTGTCT
>NC_000022.11:13258297-13280858 GCF_000001405.40 Homo sapiens | reverse complement strand
TCTGTCTACATTTTTTGTGGAGACATTTCCTTTTCTACTGCATACCACAATGCGCTCCAAATGTCCACTTGCAGATTCTACAAAAAGAGTGTTTCCAAACTGCTCAATAAAATGAAAAGTTTAACTCTGTGAGATGAACGCACACATCAGAAAGAAGTTTCCCAGAATTATTCAGTCTAGTTTTTATGTAAAGATATTTCATTTTCCACCAGAGGCCACAAGTTGCTCAAATTGTCCACTTGCAGATTCTACAAAAAGAGGGTTTCCAAACTGCTCAATCAAAACAATGGTTCAGCTCTGTGTGGTGAACGCACACATCACCAAGCAGTTTCTCAGAATTCTTTTGACTAGTTTTTATGTGAAGATATTTCCTTTTCCACCATAGGCCTCAAAGCACTCCAAATGTAGACTTGTAGATTCTACAAAAAGAGTTTCAAAACTGCTCAATCAAGGGAAAGGTTAAACAATGTGTGGTGAATGCACACATCACAAAGAAGTCTCAGATTGCTTCTGTCTAGATTTTATGTGATGATATTTCCTTTTCTACCGTAGGCCACAAAGTGCTCCAAAAGTCCACTTGCAGATTCTACAAAAAGAGTGTTTGAAACTGCTCAATCAAAAGAAAGGTTCAACTGTGTGAGATTAACGCACACATAAGAAAGAAGTTTCTCAGAATTCTTCTGTCTAGTTTTCATGTGAAGCCATTTTCTTTTCCACCATAGGCCTCCAGGCGCTCAAAATGTCCACTTGCAGATTCTACAAAAAGACAGTTTCAAATCTGCTCATTCAAAAGGAAGGTTTAATTCTGTAAGATGAATACAAACATCACAAAGGAGTCTCTCAGAATTCCTCTGTCTAGATTTTATGTGAAGATATTTCCTGTTCTACCATAGGCTTCAAAGCATTCCATACATCTACTTGCAGATTCTACGAAAAGAGTGTTTCCAAACTGCTCAATCAAAAGAAAGGTTCAACTCTGTGAGATGAACGCACACATCACATAGAAGTTTATCAGAATACATCTGCTTAGTTTTTATGTGAAGATATTTCCTTTTCCACCATAGGCTGCAAAACGCTCCAAATATCCGCTAGCAGATTCTACAAAAAGAGGGTTTCCGAACTGCTCAATCATAAAGAAAGGTTCAACTCTGTTAGATAAATGCAAGCATCACAAAGGAGTTTCTCAGAATTCTTCTGCCGAGTTTCAATTTGTAGATATTTCCTTTTCCACCATAGGCCTGAAAGGGCTCAAAATGTCCACTTGCAGATTCTACAAAAAGATACTTACAAAACTGCTGGATCAAAAGAATGTTTTACTCTGTGAGATGAATGCACACATCCCAAAGAAGTTTCTCAGAATTGT
The DNA here is from genome assembly GCF_000001405.40 of Homo sapiens. NCBI lineage: Eukaryota > Metazoa > Chordata > Mammalia > Primates > Hominidae > Homo > Homo sapiens. The sequence goes on along the minus strand of NC_000022.11, from coordinate 13,279,495 downwards.
TCTCTCTATTTATTATATGAAGATATTTCATTATCCACCATAGGCCTCAAAGCGCTCCAAATGTCCACTTTTAGATTCTACAAAAAGAGTGTTTCAAAACTGGACAATCAAAAGTAAGGTTCAACTCTGTGAGATGATTGCACACATCACAAAGAAATTTCTCAGAATGCTTCTGTCTGGTTTTTAGGTGAAGATATTTTCTTTTCCACCATAGGCCTCAAAGCGCTCTAAATGTCCACTTGCAGATCCTACAAAAAGAGTTTTTCGAAACAGCTCAATCAAAAGAAAGTTTCAAGTCAGTGAGATGAATGCAAACGTCACAAAGAAGTTTTTCAAAATGCTTCTGTCTAGTTTTTCTGTGAAGATATTTCCTTTTCCACCATAGGCCTCAAAGCGCTCCAAATGTCCACTTGCAGATTCTACAAAAAGAGTGTTTCAAAGCTGTTCAATCAAAAGAAAGGTCCAGCTCTGAGAGATGAATGCACACTTTACAAAGTAGTTTGTCAGAATGCTTCTGTCTCGTTTTTATATGAGGGTATTTCCTTTTCCACCATAGGCCTCAAAGCACTCTAAATGTCCTCTTGCAGATACTACAAAAAGGGTGTTTCAAAACTGCTCAATCAAAACTAAGGTTCAACTCTGGGAGATGAATGCACATATCACAATGAAGGTTGTCAGAATGCTTCTGTTTTTTATATGAAGATATATGAAGATATTTCCTTTTCCACCATGTGCGTCAAAGCCCTCAAAATGTCCACTTACAGATTCTCCAAAAAGAGTGTTTCAAAATTGCTCAATGAAAAGTAAGGTTCAACTCTGTGAGATGAATGCCCACATCACAAAGAAGTTTGTCAGAATGCTTCTGTCTAGTTTTTATGTGAAGATATTTCCTTTTTCGCCATAGTCCCCAAAGCGCTACAAATGACTACTTGCAGATTCTACAAAAAGAGTGTTTCAAAGTTGCTCAATCAAAAGGAAGTTTCAACTCTGAAAGATGAATGCATGCATAACAAAGAAGTTTGTCAGAAGATTTCTGTCTAGTTTTTATGTGACGATACATCCTTTTCCACCATAGGCCAGAAAGCGGTCCAATTGTCCACTTGCAGATTCTACAAAAAGAGTGTTTCAAATCTGCTCAATGAAAAGTAAGGTTCAAATCTTTGAGTTGAACGCACACATTGAAAAGAAGTTTGTCAGAATGCTTCTGTCTAGTTTTTAAGTGAAGATATTTCCTTTTCCACCATAGGCCTCAAAGCACTCCAATTGTCCACTTGCAGATTTTACAAAAAGAGTGCTTCCAAAGTGCTCAATCAAAAGGGAGGTTCAACCCTGTAAGATGAATGCACACATCACAAAGAAGTTTCTCAGAATGGTTCTGTCCAATTTTTATGTGAAGATATTTCGTTTTCCACCATAGGCCTCAAAGCACTCCAAATGTCCACTTGCAGATTCTACAAAAAGAATGTTGCAAAGCTGCTCAATCAAAAGAAAGTTTCAACACTTTGTGAGATGTATGCAGACATCACAAAAAGTTTATCATAATGCTTCTGTCTACATTTTTTGTGGAGACATTTCCTTTTCTACTGCATACCACAATGCGCTCCAAATGTCCACTTGCAGATTCTACAAAAAGAGTGTTTCCAAACTGTTCAATAAAATGAAAAGTTTAACTCTGTGAGATGAACGCACACATCAGAAAGAAGTTTCCCAGAATTATTCTGTCTAGTTTTTAAGTTAAGATATTTCCTTTTCGACCAGGGGCATCAAAGTACTCCAAATGTCCACTTGCATATTCTACGAAAAGAGGGTTTCCAAACTGCTCAATCAAAACAATGGTTCAGCCCTGTGAGGTGAACGCACACATCACCAAGAAGTTTCTCAGAATTCTTTTGACTAGTTTTTATGTGAAGATATTTCCTTTTCCACCATAGGCCTCAAAGCACTCCAAATGTAGACTTGTAGATTCTACAAAAAGAGTTTCAAAACTGCTCAATCAAGGGAAAGGTTAAACAATGTGTGGTGAATGCACACATCACAAAGAAGTCTCAGATTGCTTCTGTCTAGATTTTATGTGATGATATTTCCTTTTCTACCGTAGGCCACAAAGCCCTCCAAATGTCTACTTGCAGATTCTACAAAAAGAGTGTTTTGAAACTGCTCAATCAAAAGAAAGGTTCAACTGTGTGAGATTAACGCACACATCAGAAAGAAGTTTCTCAGAATTCTTCTGTCTAGTTTTCATGTGAAGGCATTTTCTTTTCCACCATAGGCCTCAAGGCGCTCAAAATGTCCACTTGCAGATTCTACAAAAAGACAGTTTCAAATCTGCTCATTCAAAAGGAAGCTTTAACTCTGTAAGATGAGTACACGCATCACAAAGAAGTCTCTCAGAATTCCTCTGTCTAGATTTTATGTGAAGATATTTCCTGTTCTACCATAGGCTTCAAAGCATTCCATACGTCTACTTGCAGATTCTACGAAAAGAGTGTTTCCAAACTGCTCAATCAAAAGAAAGGTTCAACTCTGTGAGATGAACGCACACATCACATAGAAGTTTATCAGAATACATTTGTTTAGTTTTTATGTGAAGATATTTCCTTTTCCACCATAGGCTGCAAAACGCTCCAAATATCCGCTAGCAGATTCTACAAAAAGAGGGTTTCCGAACTGCTCAATCATAAAGAAAGGTTCAACTCTGTTAGATAAATGCAAGCATCACAAAGGAGTTTCTCAGAATTCTTCTGTCTAGTTCTTATGTGAAGATATTTCCTTTTCCACCATAGGCCTCAAAGCACTCCAATTGTCCACTTGCAGATTTTACAGAAAGAGTGCTTCCAAAGTGCTCAATCAAAAGGGAGGTTCAACTCTGTGAGATGAATGCACACATCACAAAGAAGTTTCTCAGAATGCTTCTGTCCAATTTTTATGTGAACATATTTCGTTATCCACCATAGGTCTCAAAGCACTCCAAATGTCCACTTGCAGATTCCACAAAAAGAATGTTGCAAAGCTGCTCAATCAAAAGAAAGTTTCAACTCTTTGTGAGATGTATGCAGACATCACAAAAAGTTTAACATAATGCTTCTGTCTGGTTTTTAGGTGAAGATATTTTCTTTTCCACCATAGCCCTCAAAGCACTCTAAATGTCCACTTGCAGATCCTACAAAAAGAGTTTTTCAAAACAGCTCAATCAAAAGAAAGTTTCAAGTCAGTGAGATGAATGCAAACGTCACAAAGAAGTTTTTCAAAATGCTTCTGTCTAGTTTTTCTGTGAAGATATTTGCTTTTCGACCATAGACCTCAAAGTGCTCCAAATGTCCAATTGCAGATTCTACAAAAAGAGTGTTTCAAAGCTGCTCAATCAAAAGAAAGGTCCAGCTCTGTGAGATGAATGCACACAGCACAAAGTAGTTTGTCAGAATGCTTCTGTCTAGTTTTTCTGTGAAGATATTTCCTTTTCCACCATAGGCCTCAAAGCGCTCCAAATGTCCACTTGCAGATTCTACAAAAAGAGTGTTTCAAAGCTGTTCAATCAAAAGAAAGGTCCAGCTCTGAGAGATGAATGCACACATTACAAAGTAGTTTGTCAGAATGCTTCTGTCTCGTTTTTATGTGAAGGTATTTCCTTTTCCACCATGTGCGTCAAAGCCCTCAAAATGTCCACTTACAGATTCTCCAAAAAGAGTGTTTCAAAATTGCTCAATGAAAAGTAAGGTTCAACTCTGTGAGATGAATGCACACATCGCAAAGAAGTTTGTCAGAATGCTTCTGTCTAGTTTTTATGGGAAGATATTTCCTTTTTCGCCATAGTCTCCAAAGCGCTACAAATGACTACTTGCAGATTCTACAAAAAGAGTGTTTCAAAGTTGCTCAATCAAAAGGAAGGTTCAACTCTGAAAGATGAATGCATGCATAACAAAGAAGTTTGTCAGAAGATTTCTGTCTAGTTTTTATGTGACGATATATCCTTTTCCACCATAGGCCACAAAGCGGTCCAATTGTCCACTTGCAGATTCTACAAAAAGAGTGTTTCAAATCTGCTCAATGAAAAGTAAGGTTCAAATCTGTGAGTTGAATGCACACATCGAAAAGAAGTTTGTCAGAATGCTTCTGTCTGTTCTGTATGTGAAGATGTTCCCTTTTCCACCATAGGCCTCAAAGTGCTCCAAATGTACACTTGCAGATTCTACAAAAAGAGTGTTTCAAAGCTCCTGAATCAAGGAAAGTTTCAATTCTTTGTGAGATGAATGCACACATCACAAAGAAGTTTGTCAGAATGCTTCTGTCTAGTTTTTAAGTGAAGATATTTCCTTTTCCACCATAGGCCTCAAAGCACTCCAATTGTCCACTTGCAGATTTTACAGAAAGAGTGCTTCGAAAGTGCTCAATCAAAAGGGAGGTTCAACTCTGTGAGATGAATGCACACGTCACAAAGAAGTTTCTCAGAATGCTTCTGTCTACATTTTTTGTGGAGACATTTCCTTTTCTACTGCATACCACAATGCTCTCCAAATGTCCACTTGCAGATTCTACAAAAAGAGTGTTTCCAAACTGTTCAATAAAATGAAAAGTTTAACTCTGTGAGATGAACGCACACATCAGAAAGAAGTTTCCCAGAATTATTCAGTCTAGTTTTTATGTAAAGATATTTCATTTTCCACCAGAGGCCACAAGTTGCTCAAATTGTCCACTTGCAGATTCTACAAAAAGAGGGTTTCCAAACTGCTCAATCAAAACAATGGTTCAGCTCTGTGTGGTGAACGCACACATCACCAAGCAGTTTCTCAGAATTCTTTTGACTAGTTTTTATGTGAAGATATTTCCTTTTCCACCATAGGCCTCAAAGCACGCCAAATGTAGACTTGTAGATTCTACAAAAAGAGTTTCAAAACTGCTCAATCAAGGGAAAGGTTAAACAATGTGTGGTGAATGCACACATCACAAAGAAGTCTCAGATTGCTTCTGTCTAGATTTTATGTGATGATATTTCCTTTTCTACCGTAGGCCACAAAGCCCTCCAAATGTCTACTTGCAGATTCTACAAAAAGAGTGTTTTGAAACTGCTCAATCAAAAGAAAGGTTTAACTGTGTGAGATTAACGCACACATCAGAAAGAAGTTTCTCAGAATTCTTCTGTCTAGTTTTCATGTGAAGGCATTTTCTTTTCCACCATAGGCCTCAAGGCGCTCAAAATGTCCACTTGCAGATTCTACAAAAAGACAGTTTCAAATCTGCTCATTCAAAAGGAAGGTTTAACTCTGTAAGATGAGTACACGCATCACAAAGAAGTCTCTCAGAATTCCTCTGTCTAGATTTTATGTGAAGATATTTCCTGTTCTACCATAGGCTTCAAAGCATTCCATACGTCCACTTGCAGACTCTACAAAAAGAGTGTTTCCAAACTGCTCAATCAAAAGAAAGGTTCAACTCTGTGAGATGAATGCACACATCACATAGAAGTTTCTCAGAATACATCTGTTTAGTTTTTATGTGAAGATATTTCCTTTTCCACCATAGGCTGCAAAACGCTCCAGATATCCGCTAGCAGATTCTACAAAAAGAGGGTTTCCAAACTGCTCAATCATAAAGAAAGGTTCAAGTCTGTTAGATGAATGCAAGCATCACAAAGGAGTTTCTCAGAATTCTTCTGTCGAGTTTCAATTTGTAGATATTTCCTTTTCCACCATAGGCCTGAAAGGACTCAAAATGTCCACTTGCAGATTCTACAAAAAGAGACTTACAAAACTGCTCGATCAAAAGAATGTTTTACTCTGTGAGATGAAAGCACACATCCCAAAGAAGTTTCTCAGAATAGTTCTGTCTAGTTTTTATGTGAAGATATTTCCTTTTCCACCATAGGTCTAAAAGTGCTCCAAATGTCCACTTGCAGATTCTACAAAAAGAGTGTTTCAAAATTGCTCAATGAAAAGTAAGGTTCAACTCTGTGAGATGAATGCACACATCACAAAGAAGTTTCTCAGAATACTTCTGTATGGTTTTTAGGTGAAGATATTTTCTTTTCCTCCATAGGCCTCAAAGCGATCCAAATGTCCACATGCAGATCCTACAAAAAGAGTTTTTCAAAACTGCTCAATCAAAAGAAAGGTTCACATCAGTGAGATGAATGCAAACGTCACAATGAAGTTTTTCAAAATACTTCTGTCTAGTTTTTCTGTGAAGATATTTGCTTTTCGACCATAGACCTCAAAGTGCTCCAAATGTCCAATTGCAGATTCTACAAAAAGAGTGTTTCAAAGCTGCTCAATCAAAAGAAAGGTCCAGCTCTGTGAGATGAATGCACACAGCACAAAGTAGTTTGTCAGAATGCTTCTGTCTCGTTTTTATATGAGGGTATTTCCTTTTCCACCATAGGCCTCAAAGCACTCGAAATGTCCTCTTGCAGATACTACAAAAAGGGTGTTTCAAAACTGCTCAATCAAAACTAAGGTTCAACTCTGGGAGATGAATGCACATATCACAATGAAGGTTGTCAGAATGCTTCTGTTTTTTATATGAAGATATATGAAGATATTTCCTTTTCCACCATGTGCGTCAAAGCCCTCAAAATGTCCACTTACAGATTCTCCAAAAAGAGTGTTTCAAAATTGCTCAATGAAAAGTAAGGTTCAACTCTGTGAGATGAATGCCCACATCACAAAGAAGTTTGTCAGAATGCTTCTGTCTAGTTTTTATGTGAAGATATTTCCTTTTTCGCCATAGTCCCCAAAGCGCTACAAATGACTACTTGCAGATTCTACAAAAAGAGTGTTTCAAAGTTGCTCAATCAAAAGGAAGTTTCAACTCTGAAAGATGAATGCATGCATAACAAAGAAGTTTGTCAGAAGATTTCTGTCTAGTTTTTATGTGACGATATATCCTTTTCCACCATAGGCCACAAAGCGGTCCAATTGTCCACTTGCAGATTCTACAAAAAGAGTGTTTCATATCTGCTCAATGAAAAGTAAGGTTCAAATCTGTGAGTTGAACGCACACATCGAAAAGAAGTTTGTCAGAATGCTTCTGTCTGTTCTGTATGTGAAGATGTTCCCTTTTCCACCATAGGCCTCAAAGTGCTCCAAATGTACACTTGCAGATTCTACAAAAAGAGTGTTTCAAAGCTCCTGAATCAAGGAAAGTTTCAATTCTTTGTGAGATGAATGCACACATCACAAAGAAGTTTGTCAGAATGCTTCTGTCTAGAGTTTATGAGAAGATATTTGCTTCTCTACCATTGGCCACAAATCTCTCCACATGTGCACTTGCAGATTCTACAAAAAGAGTGTTTCCAAACTGCTCAATCTAAAGATAGGTTCAAATCTGTGACATGAATGCACACATCACAAAGAAGTTTATAAGACTGCTTCTGTCTACATTTTTTGTGGAGACATTTCCTTTTCTACTGCATACCACAATGCGCTCCAAATGTCCACTTGCAGATTCTACAAAAAGAGTGTTTCCAAACTGCTCAATAAAATGAAAAGTTTAACTCTGTGAGATGAACGCACACATCAGAAAGAAGTTTCCCAGAATTATTCAGTCTAGTTTTTATGTAAAGATATTTCATTTTCCACCAGAGGCCACAAGGTGCTCAAATTGTCCACTTGCAGATTCTACAAAAAGAGGGTTTCCAAACTGCTCAATCAAAACAATGGTTCAGCTCTGTGTGGTGAACGCACACATCACCAAGCAGTTTCTCAGAATTGCTTTTGACTAGTTTTTATGTGAAGATATTTCCTTTTCCACCATAGGCCTCAAAGCACTCCAAATGTAGACTGGTAGATTCTACAAAAAGAGTTTCAAAACTGCTCAATCAAGGGAAAGGTTAAACAATGTGTGGTGAATGCACACATCACAAAGAAGTCTCAGATTGCTTCTGTCTAGTTTTTATGTGAAGATATTTCCTTTTCCACCATAGGCCTCAAAGGGCTCCAAATGTCCACTTGCACATTCTACAAAAAGAGTGTTTCAAAGCTGCTCAATGAAAAGTAAGGTTCAACTCTATGAGATGAATGCACAAATCACAAAGAAGTCTGTCAGAATGCTTCTGTCTAGTTTTCATGTGAAGCCATTTTCTTTTCCACCATAGGCCTCCAGGCGCTCAAAATGTCCACTTGCAGATTCTACAAAAAGACAGTTTCAAATCTGCTCATTCAAAAGGAAGGTTTAATTCTGTAAGATGAATACAAACATCACAAAGGAGTCTCTCAGAATTCCTCTGTTCAGATTTTATGTGAAGATATTTCCTGTTCTACCATAGGCTTCAAAGCATTCCATACGTCCACTTGCAGATTCTACAAAAAGAGTGTTTCCAAACTGCTCAATCAAAAGAAAGGTTCAACTCTGTGAGATGAACGCACACATCACATAGAAGTTTCTCAGAATACATCTATTTAGTTTTCATGTGAAGATATTTCCTTTTCCACCATAGGCTGCAAAACGCTCCAAATATCCGCTGGCAGATTCTAAAAAAGAGGGTTTCCAAACTGATCAATCATAAAGAAAGGTTCAACTCTGTTACATGAATGCAAGCATCACAAAGGAGTTTCTCAGAATTCTTCTGTCGAGTTTCAATTTGTAGATATTTCCTTTTCCACCATAGGCCTGAAAGGACTCAAAATGTCCACTTGCAGATTCTACAAAAAGAGACTTACAAAACTGCTCGATCAAAAGAATGTTTTACTCTGTGAGATGAAAGCACACATCCCAAAGAAGTTTCTCAGAATAGTTCTGTCTAGTTTTTATGTGAAGATATTTCCTTTTCCACCATAGGTCTAAAAGTGCTCCGAATGTCCACTTGCAGATTCTACAAAAAGAGAGTTTCAAAACTGCTGAATCAAAAGTAAGGTTCAACTCTCTTAGATGAATGCACATATCACAATGAAGGTTGTCAGAATGCTTCTGTCTGGTTTTTAGGTGAAGATATTTTCTTTTCCACCATAGGCCTCAAAGCGCTCTAAATGTCCACTTGCAGATCCTACAAAAAGAGTTTTTCAAAACCGCTCAATCAAAAGAAAGTTTCAAGTCAGTGAGATGAATGCAAACGTCACAAAGAAGTTTTTCAAAATGCTTCTGTCTAATTTTTATGTGAAGGTATTTCCTTTTCCACTGTAGGCCTCAAAGTGCTCCAAATGTCCACTTGCAGACTCTACAAAGAGTGTTTCAAAGCTGCTCAATCAAAAGAAAGTTTCAACTTTGTGAGATGAATGCACACATCACAAAGCAGTTTGTGAGAATGCTTCTGTCTCGTTTTTATATGAGGGTATTTCCTTTTCCACCATAGGCCTCAAAGCACTCGAAATGTCCTCTTGCAGATACTACAAAAAGGGTGTTTCAAAACTGCTCAATCAAAACTAAGGTTCAACTCTGGGAGATGAATGCACATATCACAATGAAGGTTGTCAGAATGCTTCTGTCTAGTTTTTATATGAAGATATTTCCTTTTCCACCACGTGCGTCAAAGCCCTCAAAAAGTCCACTTACAGATTCTCCAAAAAGAGTGTTTCAAAATAGCTCAATGAAAAGTAAGGTTCAACTCTGTGAGATGAATGCCCACATCACAAAGAAGTTTGTCAGAATGCCTTTGTCTAGTTTTTATGGGAAGATATTTCCTTTTTCGCCATAGTCTCCAAAGCGCTACAAATGACTACTTGCAGATTCTACAAAAAGAGTGTTTCAAAGTTGCTCAATCAAAAGGAAGGTTCAACTCTGAAAGATGAATGCATGCATAACAAAGAAGTTTGTCAGAAGATTTCTGTCTAGTTTTTATGTGACGATATATCCTTTTCCACCATAGGCCACAAAGCGGTCCAATTGTCCACTTGCAGATTCTACAAAAGGAGTGTTTCATATCTGCTCAATGAAAAGTAAGGTTCAAATCTGTGAGTTGAACGCACACATCGAAAAGAAGTTTGTCAGAATGCTTCTGTCTGTTCTATATGTGAAGATGTCCCCTTTTCCACCATAGGCCTCAAAGCGCTCCAAATGTACACTTGCAGATTCTACAAAAAGAGTGTTTCAAAGCTCCTGAATCAAAGAAAGTTTCAATTCTTTGTGAGATGAATGCACACATCACAGAGAAGTTTGTCAGAATGCTTCTGTCTAGTTTTTAAGTGAAGATATTTCCTTTTCCACCATAGGCCTCAAAGCACTCCAATTGTCCACTTGCAGATTTTACAAAAAGAGTGCTTCCAAAGTGCTCAATCAAAAGGGAGGTTCAACCCTGTAAGATGAATGCACACATCACAAAGAAGTTTATAAGACTGCTTCTGTCTACATTTTTTGTGGAGACATTTCCTTTTCTACTGCATACCACAATGCGCTCCAAATGTCCACTTGCAGATTCTACAAAAAGAGTGTTTCCAAACTGCTCAATAAAATGAAAAGTTTAACTCTGTGAGATGAACGCACACATCAGAAAGAAGTTTCCCAGAATTATTCAGTCTAGTTTTTATGTAAAGATATTTCATTTTCCACCAGAGGCCACAAGGTGCTCAAATTGTCCACTTGCAGATTCTACAAAAAGAGTATTTCAAAACTGTCCATCAAAAGAAAGGTTCAGCTCTGGGAGATGAATACAAACATCACAAAGAGGTTTCTCAGAATGCTTCTGTCTAGAGTTTATGCGAAGATATTTGCTTCTCTACCATTGGCCACAAATCTCTCCACATGTGCACTTGCAGATTCTACAAAAAGAGTGTTTCCAAACTGCTCAATCTAAAGATAGGTTCAAATCTGTGACATGAATGCACACATCACAAAGAAGTTTATAAGACTGCTTCTGTCTAGATTTTATGTGATGATATTTCCTTTTCTACCGTAGGCCACAAAGCCCTCCAAATGTCTACTTGCAGATTCTACAAAAAGAGTGTTTTGAAACTGCTCAATCAAAAGAAAGGTTTAACTGTGTGAGATTAACGCACACATCAGAAAGAAGTTTCTCAGAATTCTTCTGTCTAGTTTTCATGTGAAGGCATTTTCTTTTCCACCATAGGCCTCAAGGCGCTCAAAATGTCCACTTGCAGATTCTACAAAAAGACAGTTTCAAATCTGCTCATTCAAAAGGAAGGTTTAACTCTGTAAGATGAGTACACGCATCACAAAGAAGTCTCTCAGAATTCCTCTGTCTAGATTTTATGTGAAGATATTTCCTGTTCTACCATAGGCTTCAAAGCATTCCATACGTCCACTTGCAGACTCTACAAAAAGAGTGTTTCCAAACTGCTCAATCAAAAGAAAGGTTCAACTCTGTGAGATGAATGCACACATCACATAGAAGTTTCTCAGAATACATCTGTTTAGTTTTTATGTGAAGATATTTCCTTTTCCACCATAGGCTGCAAAACGCTCCAGATATCCGCTAGCAGATTCTACAAAAAGAGGGTTTCCAAACTGCTCAATCATAAAGAAAGGTTCAAGTCTGTTAGATGAATGCAAGCATCACAAAGGAGTTTCTCAGAATTCTTCTGTCGAGTTTCAATTTGTAGATATTTCCTTTTCCACCATAGGCCTGAAAGGACTCAAAATGTCCACTTGCAGATTCTACAAAAAGAGACTTACAAAACTGCTCGATCAAAAGAATGTTTTACTCTGTGAGATGAAAGCACACATCCCAAAGAAGTTTCTCAGAATAGTTCTGTCTAGTTTTTATGTGAAGATATTTCCTTTTCCACCATAGATCTAAAAGTGCTCCAAATGTCCACTTGCAGATTCTACAAAAAGAGTGTTTCAAAATTGCTCAATGAAAAGTAAGGTTCAACTTTGTGAGATGAATTCACACATCACAAAGAAGTTTCTCAGAATAATTCTGTCTAGTTTTTATGTGAAGATACTTCCTTTTCCACCATAGGCCTCAAAGCGCTCCAAATGTCCACATGCAGATTCTACAAAAAGAGGGTTTCCAAACTGCTCAATCAAAACAACGGTTCAACTCTGTGAGGTGAACACACACATCAACAAGAAGTTTCTCAGAATTCTTCTGTCTAGTTTTTCTGTGAAGATATTTCCTTTTCCACCATAGGCCTCAAAGCGCTCCAAATGTCCACTTGCAGATTCTACAAAAAGAGTGTTTCAAAGCTGTTCAACCAAAAGAAAGGTCCAGCTCTGAGAGATGAATGCACACATTACAAAGTAGTTTGTCAGAATGCTTCTGTCTCGTTTTTATGTGAAGGTATTTCCTTTTCCACCATGTGCGTCAAAGCCCTCAAAATGTCCACTTACAGATTCTCCAAAAAGAGTGTTTCAAAATTGCTCAATGAAAAGTAAGGTTCAACTCTGTGAGATGAATGCACACATCACAAAGAAGTTTGTCAGAATGCTTCTGTCTCGTTTTTATGTGAAGGTATTTCCTTTTCCACCATGTGCGTCAAAGCCCTCAAAATGTCCACTTACAGATTCTCCAAAAAGAGTGTTTCAAAATTGCTCAATGAAAAGTAAGTTTCAACTCTGTGAGATGAATGCACACATCACAAAGAAGTTTGTCAGAATGCTTCTGTCTAGTTTTTATGTGAAGATATTTCCTTTTTTGCCATAGGCCCCAAAGCGCTCCAAATGACTACTTGCAGATTCTACAAAAACAGTGTTTCAAAGTTGCTCAATCAAAAGAAAGGTTCAACTCTGAAAGATGAATGCACACATAACAAAGAAGTTTGTCAGAAGATTTCTGTCTAGTTTTTATGTGACGATATATCCTTTTCCACCATAGGCCACAAAGCGGTCCAATTGTCCACTTGCAGATTCTACAAAAGGAGTGTTTCATATCTGCTCAATGAAAAGTAAGGTTCAAATCTGTGAGTTGAACGCACACATCAAAAAGAAGTTTGTCAGAATGCTTCTGTCTGTTCTATATGTGAAGATGTCCCCTTTTCCACCATAGGCCTCAAAGCGCTCCAAATGTACACTTGCAGATTCTACAAAAAGAGTGTTTCAAAGCTCCTGAATCAAAGAAAGTTTCAATTCTTTGTGAGATGAATGCACACATCACAAAGAAGTTTGTCAGAATGCTTCTGTCTAGTTTTTAAGTGAAGATATTTCCTTTTCCACCATAGGCCTCAAAGCACTCCAATTGTCCACTTGCAGATTTTACAAAAAGAGTGCTTCCAAAGTGCTCAATCAAAAGGGAGGTTCAACCCTGTAAGATGAATGCACACATCACAAAGAAGTTTCTCAGAATGCTTCTGTCTACATTTTTTGTGGAGACATTTCCTTTTCTACTGCATACCACAATGCGCTCCAAATGTCCACTTGCAGATTCTACAAAAAGAGTGTTTCCAAACTGCTCAATAAAATGAAAAGTTTAACTCTGTGAGATGAACGCACACATCAGAAAGAAGTTTCCCAGAATTATTCAGTCTAGTTTTTATGTAAAGATATTTCATTTTCCACCAGAGGCCACAAGGTGCTCAAATTGTCCACTTGCAGATTCTACAAAAAGAGGGTTTCCAAACTGCTCAATCAAAACAATGGTTCAGCTCTGTGTGGTGAACGCACACATCACCAAGCAGTTTCTCAGAATTCTTTTGACTAGTTTTTATGTGAAGATATTTCCTTTTCCACCATAGGCCTCAAAGCACTCCAAATGTAGACTGGTAGATTCTACAAAAAGAGTTTCAAAACTGCTCAATCAAGGGAAAGGTTAAACAATGTGTGGTGAATGCACACATCACAAAGAAGTCTCAGATTGCTTCTGTCTAGATTTTATGTGATGATATTTCCTTTTCTACCGTAGGCCACAAAGCCCTCCAAATGTCTACTTGCAGATTCTACAAAAAGAGTGTTTTGAAACTGCTCAATCAAAAGAAAGGTTTAACTGTGTGAGATTAACGCACACATCAGAAAGAAGTTTCTCAGAATTCTTCTGTCTAGTTTTCATGTGAAGGCATTTTCTTTTCCACCATAGGCCTCAAGGCGCTCAAAATGTCCACTTGCAGATTCTACAAAAAGACAGTTTCAAATCTGCTCATTCAAAAGGAAGGTTTAACTCTGTAAGATGAGTACACGCATCACAAAGAAGTCTCTCAGAATTCCTCTGTCTAGATTTTATGTGAAGATATTTCCTGTTCTACCATAGGCTTCAAAGCATTCCATACGTCCACTTGCAGACTCTACAAAAAGAGTGTTTCCAAACTGCTCAATCAAAAGAAAGGTTCAACTCTGTGAGATGAATGCACACATCACATAGAAGTTTCTCAGAATACATCTGTTTAGTTTTTATGTGAAGATATTTCCTTTTCCACCATAGGCTGCAAAACGCTCCAGATATCCGCTAGCAGATTCTACAAAAAGAGGGTTTCCAAACTGCTCAATCATAAAGAAAGGTTCAAGTCTGTTAGATGAATGCAAGCATCACAAAGGAGTTTCTCAGAATTCTTCTGTCAAGTTTCAATTTGTAGATATTTCCTTTTCCACCATAGACCTGAAAGGACTCAAAATGTCCACTTGCAGATTCTACAAAAAGAGACTTACAAAACTGCTCGATCAAAAGAATGTTTTACTCTGTGAGATGAAAGCACACATCCCAAAGAAGTTTCTCAGAATAGTTCTGTCTAGTTTTTATGTGGAGATATTTCCTATTCCACCATAGGCCTCATGGCTCTCGAAAATTCTACTTGCAGATTCTACAAAAAGCATATTTCAAAACTGGTCTTTCAAAAGAGAGGTTCAACCCTGTGAGATGAATTCACACATCAGAAAGAAGTTTCTCAGAATGCTTCTGTCTAGTTTTTAAGTTAAGATATTTCCTTTTCGACCAGGGGCATCAAAGTACTCCAAATGTCCACTTGCATATTCTACGAAAAGAGGGTTTCCAAACTGCTCAATCAAAACAATGGTTCAGCTCTGTGAGGTGAACGCACACATCACCAAGAAGTTTCTCAGAATTCTTTTGACTAGTTTTTATGTGAAGATATTTCCTTTTCCACCATAGGCCTCAAAGCACTCCAAATGTAGACTTGTAGATTCTACAAAAAGAGTTTCAAAACTGCTCAATCAAGGGAAAGGTTAAACAATGTGTGGTGAATGCACACATCACAAAGAAGTCTCAGATTGCTTCTGTCTAGATTTTATGTGATGATATTTCCTTTTCTACCGTAGGCCACAAAGCCCTCCAAATGTCTACTTGCAGATTCTACAAAAAGAGTGTTTTGAAACTGCTCAATCAAAAGAAAGGTTCAACTGTGTGAGATTAACGCACACATCAGAAAGAAGTTTCTCAGAATTCTTCTGTCTAGTTTTCATGTGAAGGCATTTTCTTTTCCACCATAGGCCTCAAGGCGCTCAAAATGTCCACTTGCAGATTCTACAAAAAGACAGTTTCAAATCTGCTCATTCAAAAGGAAGGTTTAACTCTGTAAGATGAGTACACGCATCACAAAGAAGTCTCTCAGAATTCCTCTGTCTAGATTTTATGTGAAGATATTTCCTGTTCTACCATAGGCTTCAAAGCATTCCATACGTCTACTTGCAGATTCTACGAAAAGAGTGTTTCCAAACTGCTCAATCAAAAGAAAGGTTCAACTCTGTGAGATGAACGCACACATCACATAGAAGTTTATCAGAATACATCTGTTTAGTTTTTATGTGAAGATATTTCCTTTTCCACCATAGGCTGCAAAACGCTCCAAATATCCGCTAGCAGATTCTACAAAAAGAGGGTTTCCGAACTGCTCAATCATAAAGAAAGGTTCAACTCTGTTAGATAAATGCAAGCATCACAAAGGAGTTTCTCAGAATTCTTCTGTCAAGTTTCAATTTGTAGATATTTCCTTTTCCACCATAGACCTGAAAGGACTCAAAATGTCCACTTGCAGATTCTACAAAAAGAGACTTACAAAACTGCTTGATCAAAAGAATGTTTTACTCTGTGAGATGAAAGCACACATCCCAAAGAAGTTTCTCAGAATAGTTCTGTCTAGTTTTTATGTGAAGATATTTCCTTTTCCACCATAGATCTAAAAGTGCTCCAAATGTCCACTTGCAGATTCTACAAAAAGAGTGTTTCAAAATTGCTCAATGAAAAGTAAGGTTCAACTTTGTGAGATGAATGCACACATCACAAAGAAGTTTCTCAGAATAATTCTGTATGGTTTTTAGGTGGAGATATTTTCTTTTCCTCCATAGGCCTCAAAGCGATCCAAATGTCCACATGCAGATCCTACAAAAAGAGTTTTTCAAAACTGCTCAATCAAAAGAAAGGTTCACGTCAGTGAGATGAATGCAAACGTCACAATGAAGTTTTTCAAAATACTTCTGTCTAGTTTTTCTGTGAAGATATTTGCTTTTCGACCATAGACCTCAAAGCGCTCCAAATGTCCAATTGCAGATTCTACAAAAAGAGTGTTTCAAAGCTGCTCAATCAAAAGAAAGGTCCAGCTCTGTGAGATGAATGTACACATCACAAAGTAGTTTGTCAGAATGCTTCTGTCTCGTTTTTATATGAGGGTATTTCCTTTTCCACCATAGGCCTCAAAGCACTCTAAATGTCCTCTTGCAGATACTACAAAAAGGGTGTTTCAAAACTGCTCAATCAAAACTAAGGTTCAACTCTGGGAGATGAATGCACATATCACCATGAAGGTTGTCAGAATGCTTCTGTTTTTTATATGAAGATATATGAAGATATTTCCTTTTCCACCATGTGCGTCAAAGCCCTCAAAATGTCCACTTACAGATTCTCCAAAAAGAGTGTTTCAAAATTGCTCAATGAAAAGTAAGGTTCAACTCTGTGAGATGAATGCCCACATCACAAAGAAGTTTGTCAGAATGCTTTTGTCTAGTTTTTATGGGAAGATATTTCCTTTTTCACCATAGTCTCCAAAGCGCTACAAATGACTACTTGCAGATTCTACAAAAAGAGTGTTTCAAAGTTGCTCAATCAAAAGGAAGGTTCAACTCTGAAAGATGAATGCATGCATAACAAAGAAGTTTGTCAGAAGATTTCTGTCTAGTTTTTATGTGACGATACATCCTTTTCCACCATAGGCCAGAAAGCGGTCCAATTGTCCACTTGCAGATTCTACAAAAAGAGTGTTTCAAACCTGCTCAATGAAAAGTAAGGTTCAAATCTTTGAGTTGAACGCACACATTGAAAAGAAGTTTGTCAGAATGCTTCTGTCTGTTCTATATGTGAAGATGTTCCCTTTTCCACCATAGGCCTCAAAGCGCTCCAAATGTACACTTGCAGATTCTACAAAAAGAGTGTTTCAAAGCTCCTGAATCAAAGAAAGTTTCAATTCTTTGTGAGATGAATGCACACATCACAAAGAAGTTTGTCAGAATGCTTCTGTCCAATTTTTATGTGAAGATATTTCGTTTTCCACCATAGACCTCAAAGCACTCCAATTGTCCACTTGCAGATTTTACAGAAAGAGTGCTTCCAAAGTGCTCAATCAAAAGGGAGGTTCAACTCTGTGAGATGAATGCGCACATCACAAAGAAGTTTCTCAGAATGCTTCTGTCCAATTTTTATGTGAACATATTTCGTTATCCACCATAGGCCTCAAAGCACTCCAAATGTCCACTTGCAGATTCTACAAAAAGAATGTTGCAAAGCTTCTCAATCAAAAGAAAGTTTCAACTCCTTGTGAGATGTATGCAGACATCACAAAAAGTTTATCATAATGCTTCAGTCTAGTTTTTATGTAAAGATATTTCATTTTCCACCAGAGGCCACAAGGTGCTCAAATTGTCCACTTGCAGATTCTACAAAAAGAGTATTTCAAAACTGTCCATAAAAAGAATGGTTCAGCTCTGGGAGATGAATACAAACATCACAAAGAGGTTTCTCAGAATGCTTTTGACTAGTTTTTATGTGAAGATATTTCCTTTTCCACCATAGGCCTCAAAGCACTCCAAATGTAGACTGGTAGATTCTACAAAAAGAGTTTCAAAACTGCTCAATCAAGGGAAAGGTTAAACAATGTGTGGTGAATGCACACATCACAAAGAAGTCTCAGATTGCTTCTGTCTAGATTTTATGTGATGATATTTCCTTTTCTACCGTAGGCCACAAAGCCCTCCAAATGTCTACTTGCAGATTCTACAAAAAGAGTGTTTTGAAACTGCTCAATCAAAAGAAAGGTTTAACTGTGTGAGATTAACGCACACATCAGAAAGAAGTTTCTCAGAATTCTTCTGTCTAGTTTTCATGTGAAGGCATTTTCTTTTCCACCATAGGCCTCAAGGCGCTCAAAATGTCCACTTGCAGATTCTACAAAAAGACAGTTTCAAATCTGCTCATTCAAAAGGAAGGTTTAACTCTGTAAGATGAGTACACGCATCACAAAGAAGTCTCTCAGAATTCCTCTGTCTAGATTTTATGTGAAGATATTTCCTGTTCTACCATAGGCTTCAAAGCATTCCATACGTCCACTTGCAGACTCTACAAAAAGAGTGTTTCCAAACTGCTCAATCAAAAGAAAGGTTCAACTCTGTGAGATGAATGCACACATCACATAGAAGTTTCTCAGAATACATCTGTTTAGTTTTTATGTGAAGATATTTCCTTTTCCACCATAGGCTGCAAAACGCTCCAGATATCCGCTAGCAGATTCTACAAAAAGAGGGTTTCCAAACTGCTCAATCATAAAGAAAGGTTCAAGTCTGTTAGATGAATGCAAGCATCACAAAGGAGTTTCTCAGAATTCTTCTGTCGAGTTTCAATTTGTAGATATTTCTTTTTCCACCATAGGCCTGAAAGGACTCAAAATGTCCACTTGCAGATTCTACAAAAAGAGACTTACAAAACTGCTCGATCAAAAGAATGTTTTACTCTGTGAGATGAAAGCACACATCCCAAAGAAGTTTCTCAGAATAGTTCTCTCTATTTATTATATGAAGATATTTCGTTATCCATCATAGGACTCAAAGCGCTCCAAATGTCCACTTTCAGATTCTACAAAAAGAGTTTTTCAAAACTAGACAATCAAAAGTAAGGTTCAACTCTGTGAGATGATTGCACACATCACAAAGAAATTTCTCAGAATGTTTCTGTCTAGTTTTTCTGTGAAGATATTTGCTTTTCGACCATAGACCTCAAAGCGCTCCAAATGTACAATTGCAGATTCTACAAAAAGAGTGTTTCAAAGCTGCTCAATCAAAAGAAAGGTCCAGCTCTGTGAGATGAATGTACACATCACAAAGTAGTTTGTCAGAATGCTTCTATCTACTTTCTATGTGAAGGTATTTCCTTTTCTACCATTGGCTTGAAGTGCCGCAAATGTCCAACGGCAGATTCTACAAAAAGAGTGTTTCAAAGCTGCTAAATCAAAAGAAATGTTCAACTCTGTGAGATGAAAGCACACATCACAAAGACGTTTGTCAGAATGCTTCTGTCTAGTTTTTATGTGAAGATATTTCCTTTTACACCACAGGCCTCAAAGTTCTCCAAATGTCCACTTGCAGATTCTACAAAAAGAGTGTTTCAAAACTGCTCAATGAAAAGTAAGGTTCAACTCTGTGAGATGAATGCACACATCACAAAGAAGTTTCTCAGAATCCTTCTGTCTAGTTTTTATATGAAGATATTTCCTTTTCCACCACGTGCGTCAAAGCCCTCAAAAAGTCCACTTACAGATTCTCCAAAAAGAGTGTTTCAAAATAGCTCAATGAAAAGTAAGGTTCAACTCTGTGAGATGAATGCCCACATCACAAAGAAGTTTGTCAGAATGCCTCTGTCTAGTTTTTATGGGAAGATATTTCCTTTTTCGCCATAGTCTCCAAAGCGCTACAAATGACTACTTGCAGATTCTACAAAAAGAGTGTTTCAAAGTTGCTCAATCAAAAGGAAGGTTCAACTCTGAAAGATGAATGCATGCATAACAAAGAAGTTTGTCAGAAGATTTCTGTCTAGTTTTTATGTGACGATACATCCTTTTCCACCATAGGCCAGAAAGCGGTCCAATTGTCCACTTGCAGATTCTACAAAAAGAGTGTTTCAAATCTGCTCAATGAAAAGTAAGGTTCAAATCTTTGAGTTGAACGCACACATTGAAAAGAAGTTTGTCAGAAGGCTTCTGTCTGTTCTATATGTGAAGATGTTCCCTTTTCCACCATAGGCCTCAAAGCGCTCCAAATGTACACTTGCAGATTCTACAAAAAGAGTGTTTCAAAGCTCCTGAATCAAAGAAAGTTTCAATTCTTTGTGAGATGAATGCACACATCACAAAGAAGTTTGTCAGAATGCTTCTGTCTAGAGTTTATGCGAAGATATTTGCTTCTCTACCATTGGCCGCAAATCTCTCCACGTGTGCACTTGCAGATTCTACAAAAAGAGTGTTTCCAAACTGCTCAATCTAAAGATAGGTTCAAATCTGTGAAATGAATGCACACATCACAAAGAAGTTTATAAGACTGCTTCTGTCTACATTTTTTGTGGAGACATTTCCTTTTCTACTGCATACCACAATGCGCTCCAAATGTCCACTTGCAGATTCTACAAAAAGAGTGTTTCCAAACTGCTCAATAAAATGAAAAGTTTAACTCTGTGAGATGAACGCACACATCAGAAAGAAGTTTCCCAGAATTATTCTGTCTAGTTTTTAAGTTAAGATATTTCCTTTTCGACCAGGGGCATCAAAGTACTCCAAATGTCCACTTGCATATTCTACAAAAAGAGGGTTTCCAAACTGCTCAATCAAAACAATGGTTCAGCTCTGTGTGGTGAACGCACACATCACCAAGCAGTTTCTCAGAATTCTTTTGACTAGTTTTTATGTGAAGATATTTCCTTTTCTACCATAGGCCTCAAAGCACTCCAAATGTAGACTTGTAGATTCTACAAAAAGAGTTTCAAAACTGCTCAATCAAGGGAAAGGTTACACAATGTGTGGTGAATGCACACATCACAAAGAAGTCTCAGATTGCTTCTGTCTAGATTTTATGTGACGATATTTCCTTTTCTACCGTAGGCCACAAAGTGCTCCAAAAGTCCACTTGCAGATTCTACAAAAAGAGTGTTTGAAACTGCTCAATCAAAAGAAAGGTTCAACTGTGTGAGATTAACGCACACATAAGAAAGAAGTTTCTCAGAATTCTTCTGTCTAGTTTTCATGTGAAGGCATTTTCTTTTCCACCATAGGCCTCAAGGCGCTCAAAATGTCCACTTGCAGATTCTACAAAAAGACAGTTTCAAATCTGCTCATTCAAAAGGAAGGTTTAACTCTGTAAGATGAGTACACGCATCACAAAGAAGTCTCTCAGAATTCC
>NC_000022.11:13254952-13258197 GCF_000001405.40 Homo sapiens | reverse complement strand
TCTGTGTAGGTTTATGTGAAGATATTTCCTTTTACACAATAGGCCAAAAAGCACTCCAAATATACACCTGAAGATTTTGCAAAGAGACTGTTTCAAAGCTGCTCAGTCATAAGATAGGTTCATCTCTGTGAGATGAATGCACACATCACAAAGAAGTTTCTCAGAATGCTTCTGTGTAGTTTTTATTTGAAGATATTTCCTTTGCCTCCATGGACTGCAAAGGGCTCCAAATATCCACTTGCAAATCCGAGAAAAAGAGAGATCCAAAAATGCTCAATTGAAAGATAGGTTCAAGACTGTGAGTTGAATGCACACATCACAAAGAAGTTTCTCAGAATGCTTCTGTGTTGTTTTTATGTGAAGATATTTTCTTTTCCACAATAGGCCTCAAAGGGCTCCAAATACCCACTTGCAGCTCCTACAAAAAGAGATATTCAAATCTGCTCAATCAAAAGATAAGTTCACCTCTGTGAGTTTAACACACACATCACAAAGTAGTTTCTCAGAATGCTTATTTGTAGTTTTTATGTGAAGATATTACCTTTTCCACAATAGGCCTCAAAGCACTCCAAATATCCACTTGCAGATTCTACAAACAGAGTGTTTCAAAACTTCTCAATCAAAAGATAGGTTCAACTCTCTGAGTTGAATGCATACATCATAAAGAAGTATCTCAGAATGCTTTTGTGTAGTTTTTACGTGAAGATATTTTCTTTTCCACAACAGTCCTGAAAGCCCTCCAAGTATCCACTTGCAGATTCTACAAAGAGAGTGTTTCAAATGTACTCAATCATAAGATATGTCCAAATCTATGAGATGAATGCACACATCACAAAGAAGTTTCTCAGAATGCTTCTGTGTAGTATTTATTTGAAGATATTTCCTTATCCTCCATTGGCTGCAAAGGGCTTCAAATATCCACTTGCAGATTCTGCAAAAAGAGAAATTCAAAACTGTTCAATCAAAAGATACGTTCAACTCTATGAGATGAATGCACACATCACAAAGAAGTTTCTCAGAATGCTTCTGTGTAGTTTTTATGGGAAGATATTTCCTTTTCCACAATAGGTCTAAAAGCACTCCAAATATCCACTTGCAGATTCTACAAAAAGAGTGTTTCAAAAGTTCTCAATCAAAAGAAACTTTCAACTCTGTGGGATGAATGCACACATCACAGAGTTGTTTCTCAGAATGCTTCTGTGTGGTTTTTACGTGAAGATATTTGCTTTTCCACAATAGGCCCCAAAGCGCTCCAAATATCCACTTGCACATTCTGTAAAAACTGTGTTTCAAAACTGCTCAATCAAAAGAAACGTACAACTCTGTTAGATGAATACACACAACAAAAAGTAGTTTCTCAGAATAAATATTTGTAGTTTTTATTTGAAGATATTTCCTTTGCCTCCATGGACTGCAAAGGGCTCCAAATATCCACTTGCAAATCCGAGAAAAAGAGAGATCCAAAACTGCTCAATTGAAACTGCTCATCTCTGTGGGATGAATGCACACATCACAAAGAAGTTTCTTAGAATGCTTCTGTGTAGTTTTTATTTGAAGATATTTCCTTTGCCTCCATGGACCGCAAAGGGCTCCAAACATCCACTTGCAGGTTCCTGAAAAAGAGAGATCCGAAACTGCTCAATCAAAAGATAGGTTCAAGGCTGTGAGTTGAATGGACACATCACAAAGAAGTTTCTCAGAAGGCTTCTGTGTAGTTTTTATGTGAAGATGTTTCCTTTTCCAAAATAGGCCTCAAAGCCCACCAAATATCCACTTGCAGATTCTACAAAAAGAGAGATTCAAAACTGCTCAATCAAAAGATAGGTTAAACTCTGTGACTTGAATTCACACATCACAAAGAAGTTTCTCAGAATGCTTATTTGTAGTTTTTATGTGAAGATATTACCTTTTCCACAATAGGCCTCAAAGCACTCCAAATATCCACTTGCAGATTCTACAAACAGAGTGTTTCAAAACTTCTCAATCAAAAGATAGGTTCAACTCTCTGAGTTGAGTGCATACATCATAAAGAAGTATCTCAGAATGCTTTTGTGAAGTTTTTACGTGAAGATATTTCCTTTTCCACAACAGTCCTGAAAGCCCTCCAAGTATCCACTTGCAGATTCTACAAAGAGAGTGTTTCAAATGTACTCAATCATAAGATATGTTCAAATCTATGAGATGAATGCACACATCACAAAGAAGTTTCTCAGAATGCTTCTGTGTAGTATTTATTTGAAGATATTTCCTTATCCTCCATTGGCTGCAAAGGGTTTCAAATATCCACTTGCAGATTCTGCAAACAGAGAAATTCAAAACTGCTCAATCAAAAGATAGGTTCAACTCTATGAGTTGAATGCACACATTGCAAAGAAGTTTCTCAGAATGCTTCTGTGTAGTTTTTATGGGAAGATATTTCCTTTTCCACAGTAGGTCTAAAAGCGCTCCAAATATCCACTTGCAGATTCTACAAAAAGAGTGTTTCAAAAGTTCTCAATCAAAAGAAACTTTCATCTCTGTGGGATGAATGCACACATCACAAAGAAGTTTCTTAGAATGCTTCTGTGTGGTTTTTACGTGAAGATATTTGCTTTTCCACAGTAGGCCCCAAAGCGCTCCAAATATCCACTTGCACATTCTGTAAAAACTGTGTTTCAAAACTGCTCAATCAAAAGAAACGTACAACTCTGTTAGATGAATACACACAACAAAAAGTAGTTTCTCAGAATAAATCTGTGTAGGTTTTATGTGAAGATATTTCCTTTTACAAAATAGGCCAAAAAGCACTCCAAATATACACCTGAAGATTCTGCAAAGAGAGTGTTTCAAAGCTGCTCAGTCATAAGATAGGTTCTTCTCTGTGAGATGAATGCACACATCACAAAGAAGTTTCTCAGAACGCTTCTGTGTAGTTTTTATTTGAAGATATTTCCTTTGCCTCCATGGACCGCAAAGGGCTCCAAACATCCACTTGCAGGTTCCTGAAAAAGAGAGATCCGAAACTGCTCAATCAAAAGATAGGTTCAAGGCAGTGAGTTGAATGGACACATCACAAAGAAGTTTCTCAGAAGGCTTCTGTGTGGTTTTTATGTGAAAATATTTCCTTTTCCACAGTAGGCCTCAAAGCGCTCCAAATATCCACTTGCAGCATCTACAAAGCCAGTGTTTCAAATCTGCTCAATCATAAGATAGGTTCAACTCTGTGAGATGAATGCACACATCACGAAGAAGTTTCTCAGAATGCC
>NC_000022.11:13248182-13254852 GCF_000001405.40 Homo sapiens | reverse complement strand
TCTGTGTAGTTTTTATGTGAAGATATTTCCTTTTCCACAATATTCCTCAAAGGGCTCCAAATATCCAGTTGCAGATTCTACAAAAAGAGTGTTTCAAAACTGCTCAATCAAAGGAAAGTTTCAACTCTGTGAGACGAATGCACACATCACTAAGAAGTTTCTCAGAATGCTTCTGTTTAGTTTTTGTTTGTAGGTATATGCTTTTCCACGGTAGGCCTCAATTCCCTCTAAATATCCACTTGCAGATTCTACAAAAACAGTGTTTCAAAACTGCTCAATAAAACGGTAGGTTCAAACCTGTGAGATAAATGCACATATCACAAAGAAGTTTCTCAGAATTCTTCTGTGTAATTTTTATCTGAAGATATTTCCTTTTCCACCATAGGACACAATGGGCTCCAAATATCCACTTGTACATTCTACAAAAAGAGAGACGCAAAACTGCTCAAAGAGGACATATGTTCAACTCTGTGAGTTGAATGCACACGACACAAAGAAGTTTCTCAGAATGGTTCTGTGTAGTTTTTATGTGAAAATATTTCCCTTTCCACAATATGCCTGAAAGCTCTCCAAACATCCCCTTGCAGATTCTGCAAAAAGAGAAATTCAAAACTGCTAAATCAAAAGATATGTTCAGCCCTGTGAGTTGAATGCACACATCACAAATAAGTTTCTGAGAATGTTTCTTTGTAGTTCTTATTTGAAGATATTTCCTTTTCTACCATAGCCCTCAAAGGGCTCCAATTATTCACTTGCAGATTCTACAAAAAGAGTGTTTCAAAACTGCTCAATCAAAAGAAAGTTTCAACACTGTGAGATGAATGCAAACATCAAAAAGAAGTATCTCAGAATGGTTCTATGTAGTTTTTACGTGAAGATATTTCCTTTTCCACAATAGGCCTCAAAGGGCTCCAAATATCAACTTACCGTTTCTACAAAAAGAGTGTTTCAAATCTGCTCAATCAAAAGAAAGTTTCAACTCTGTGAGTTGAATGCACACATCGCAAAAAAAGTTTCTCAGAAAGCTTTTGTGTAGCTTTTATCTGAAGTTATTTGCTTTTCCACAGTAGGCCTCAAAGCGTTCCAAATATCCACTTGCAGATTCTGCAAAAGAGAGATTAAAAACTGCTCAATAATAAGATAGTTTCAACTCTGTGAGTTGAATGCATACATCACAAAGAAATTTCTATGAATGCTTCTGTGTAGTTTTTATTTGAAGATATTTCCTTTTCCACCATGGGGCTCAAAGAGCTCCAAATATCTACCTGCAGATTTTATAAAAAGAGAGATTCAAAACTGCTCAATGAGAAAATAAGTTAAACTCTGTGGGTTGAGTGCACACCTCACAGAGAAGTTTCTCAGAATGCTTCTGTGTAGTTTTTATGTGAAGATATTTGCTTTTCCATAATAGGTTTCAAAGCTCTCCAAACATCCACTTGCAGATTCTGCAAAAAGAGAGCCTCTAAACTGCTCAATCAAAATATAGGTTCAACTCTGTGAGTTGAATGCACACATCAGAAAGAAGTTTATCAGAATGCTTCTGAGTAGTTTTTATGTGAAGATATTTCCTTTTCCACAATAGTCCTCAAAGGGCTCCAATTATCAGCTTGCAGATTGTACAAAAAGAGTGTTTCAAAACTGCTCAATCAAAAGAAAGTTTCAACTCCGTGAGATGAATGCACACACCGCAAAGAACTTTCTCAGAATGTTTATGTGTAGTTTTTATGTGAAGATATTTCCTTTTCCACAATAGGCCACAAAGCTTTGAAAACACACACTTGCAGATTCTTCAAAAAGAGAGATTCCAAACTGCTCAATCAAAAGATAGGTTCAACTCTGTGAGTTGAATGCACACATCCCAAAGAAGTTTCCCAGAATGCTTCTATGTAGTTTTCATGGGAAGATATTTCCTTTTCCACAACAGGCCTCAAAGGGCTCCAAATATCCACTTGCAGATTCTACAAAAAGAGTGTTTCAAAACTGCTCCATCAAGAGAAAGTTTTAACTCTGTGAGATGAATGCAAACATCACAAAGATGTTTCTCTGAATGCTTCTGTGTAGTATTTATGTGAAAATATTCCCTTTTACATAATAAGCCTCAACGTTCTCCAAACATCCGCTTGCAGATTCTGCAAAAAGAGAGATTCAAAACTGCTCGATCAAAAGATAGGTTCAACTCTGTGAGTTGAATGCACACATCACAAAGTAGTTTCTCAGAATGCTTCTGAGTAGTTTTTATGTGAACATATTTCATTTCCCACAGTAGGTCTCACAGTGCTCCAAATATCCACTTGCAAATTCTACAAAAAGAGAAATTCAAAACTGCTAAATCAAAAGATATGTTCAGCCCTGTGAGTTGAATGCACACATCACAAATAAGTTTCTGAGAATGTTTCTGTTTAGTTTTTATTTGAAAATATTTCTTTTTCCACCAAAGGCCGCAAATGGCTCCAAATATCTACTTGCAGTTTCTGCCAAAAGAGAGATTCAAATCTGCTCAATCAAAAGATAGGTTCAACTCTGTGAGTTGAATGCACACATCCCAAAGAAGTTTCTCAGAATGCTTCTGTGTAGTTTTTATATGAAGATATTTGCTTTTCCTCAGTATGCCTCAAAGGGCAGCAAATATCCACTTGCAGATTCTACAAATAGAGAGATTCAAAACTGCTCAATGAGAAGAAAAGTTTAACTCTGTGGGTTGAATGGACTCCTCATAAAGAAGTTTCTCAGAATGCTTCTGTGTAGTTTTTATGTGAAGATATTTCCTTTTCCACAATATTCCTCAAAGGGCTCCAAATATCCAGTTGCAGATTCTACAAAAAGAGTGTTTCAAAACTGCTCAATCAAAGGAAAGTTTCAACTCTGTGAGACGAATGCACACATCACTAAGAAGTTTCTCAGAATGCTTCTGTTTAGTTTTTGTTTGTAGGTATATGCTTTTCCACGGTAGGCCTCAATTCCCTCTAAATATCCACTTGCAGATTCTACAAAAACAGTGTTTCAAAACTGCTCAATAAAACGGTAGGTTCAAACCTGTGAGATAAATGCACATATCACAAAGAAGTTTCTCAGAATTCTTCTGTGTAATTTTTATCTGAAGATATTTCCTTTTCCACCATAGGACACAATGGGCTCCAAATATCCACTTGTACATTCTACAAAAAGAGAGACGCAAAACTGCTCAAAGAGGACATATGTTCAACTCTGTGAGTTGAATGCACACGACACAAAGAAGTTTCTCAGAATGGTTCTGTGTAGTTTTTATGTGAAAATATTTCCCTTTCCACAATATGCCTGAAAGCTCTCCAAACATCCCCTTGCAGATTCTGCCAAAAGAGAAATTCAAAACTGCTAAATCAAAAGATATGTTCAGCCCTGTGAGTTGAATGCACACATCACAAATAAGTTTCTGAGAATGTTTCTGTGTAGTTCTTATTTGAAGATATTTCCTTCTCCACCACAGGGCGCAAAGGGATCCAATTATTCCACTTGCAGATTCTACAAAAAGAGTGTTTCAAAACTGCTCAATGAAAAGAAAGTTTCAACATTGTTAGATGAATGCAAGCATCACAAAGAAGTATCTCAGAATGATTCTATGTAGTTTTTATGTGAAGATATTTCCTTTTCCACAATAGGCCTCAAAGGGCTCCAAATATCAACTTACAGTTTCTACAAAAAGAGTGTTTCAAATCTGCTCAATCAAAAGAAAGTTTCAACTCTGTGAGTTGAATGCACACATCGCAAAAAAGTTTCTCAGAAAGCTTTTGTGTAGCTTTTATCTGAAGTTATTTGCTTTTCCACAGTAGGCCTCAAAGCGCTCCAAATATCCACTTGCAGATTCTGCAAAAGAGAGATTAAAAACTGCTCAATAATAAGATAGTTTCAACTCTGTGAGTTGAATGCATACATCACAAAGAAATTTCTATGAATGCTTCTGTGTAGTTTTTATTTGAAGATATCTCCTTTTCCACCATGGGGCTCAAAGAGCTCCAAATATCTACCTGCAGATTTTATAAAAAGAGAGATTCAAAACTGCTCAATGAGAAAATAAGTTAAACTCTGTGGGTTGAGTGCACACCTCACAGAGAAGTTTCTCAGAATGCTTCTGTGTAGTTTTTATGTGAAGATATTTGCTTTTCCATAATAGGTTTCAAAGCTCTCCAAACATCCACTTGCAGATTCTGCAAAAAGAGAGCTTCTAAACTGCTCAATCAAAATATAGGTTCAACTCTGTGAGTTGAATGCACACATCAGAAAGAAGTTTATCAGAATGCTTCTGTGTAGTTTTTATTTGAAGATATTTCCTTTTCCACAATAGTCCTCAAAGGGCTCCAATTATCCACTAGCAGATTGTACAAAAAGAGTGTTTCAAAACTGCTCCATCAAAAGAAAGTTTCAACTCTATGACATGAATGCACGCACCACAAAGAACTTTCCCAGAATATTTATGTGTAGTTTTTATGTGAAGACATTTCCTTTTCCACAATAGGCCACAAAGCTTTGCAAACATACACTTGCAGATTCTGCAAAAAGAAAGATTCAAAAATCCTCAATCAAAAGATAGGTTCAACTCTTGTGAGTTGAATGCACACATTGCAAAGAAGTTTCTCAGAATACTTCTATGTAGTTTTCATGGGAAGATATTTCCTTTTCCACAACAGGCCTCAAAGGGCTCCAAATATCCACTTGCAGATTCTACAAAAAGAGTGTTTCAAAACTGCTCCATCAAGAGAAAGTTTTAACTCTGTGAGATGAATGCAAACATCACAAAGATGTTTCTCTGAATGCTTCTGTGTAGTTTTAATCTGAAGATAATTGCTTTTCCACGGTAGGCCTTAAGGCCCTCAAAATATCCAGTTGCAGATTCTGCAAAAAGAGAGATTCAAAACTGCTCATTCTTAAGATAGGTTCAAGTCTGTGAGTTGAATGCATACATCACAAAGAAGTTTATCAGAATGCTCCTGAATAGTTTTTATGTGAAGATATTTACTTTTCCA
Organism: Homo sapiens; assembly: GCF_000001405.40. Lineage (NCBI taxonomy): Eukaryota > Metazoa > Chordata > Mammalia > Primates > Hominidae > Homo > Homo sapiens. The sequence continues at coordinate 13,249,855 of NC_000022.11, read as the reverse complement.
CAATAGCCCTCAAAGGGCTCCAAATATCCAGTTGCAGATTCTACAAAAAGAGTGTTTCAAAACTGCTCAATCATAAGATAGTTTCAACCCTGTGAGATGAATGCACACATCACAAAGAAGTTTCTCAGTATGTTTCTGTTTAGTTTTTATTTGAAAATATTTCTTTTTCCACAAAAGGCCGCAAATGGCTCCAAATATCTACTTGCAGTTTCTGCCAAAAGAGAGATTCAAATCTGCTCAATCAAAAGATAGGTTCAACTCTGTGAGTTGAATGCACACATCCCAAAGAAGTTTCTCAGAATGCTTCTGTGTAGTTTTTATATGAAGATATTTGCTTTTCCTCAGTATGCCTCAAAGGGCAGCAAATATCCACTTGCAGATTCTACAAATAGAGAGATTCAAAACTGCTCAATGAGAAGAAAAGTTTAACTCTGTGGGTTGAATGGACTCCTCATAAAGAAGTTTCTCAGAATGCTTCTGTGTAGTTTTTATGTGAAGATATTTCCTTTTCCACAATATTCCTCAAAGGGCTCCAAATATCCAGTTGCAGATTCTACAAAAAGAGTGTTTCAAAACTGCTCAATCAAAGGAAAGTTTCAACTCTGTGAGACGAATGCACACATCACTAAGAAGTTTCTCAGAATGCTTCTGTTTAGTTTTTGTTTGTAGGTATATGCTTTTCCACGGTAGGCCTCAATTCCCTCTAAATATCCACTTGCAGATTCTACAAAAACAGTGTTTCAAAACTGCTCAATAAAACGGTAGGTTCAAACCTGTGAGATAAATGCACATATCACAAAGAAGTTTCTCAGAATTCTTCTGTGTAATTTTTATCTGAAGATATTTCCTTTTCCACCATAGGACACAATGGGCTCCAAATATCCACTTGTACATTCTACAAAAAGAGAGACGCAAAACTGCTCAAAGAGGACATATGTTCAACTCTGTGAGTCGAATGCACACGACACAAAGAAGTTTCTCAGAATGGTTCTGAGTAGTTTTTATGTGAACATATTTCATTTCCCACAGTAGGTCTCACAGCGCTCCAAATATCCACTTGCAAATTCTACAAAAAGAGAAATTCAAAAGTGCTAAATCAAAAGATATGTTCAGGTCTGTGAGTTGAATGCTCACATCACAAATAAGTTTCTGAGAATGTTTCTTTGTAGTTCTTATTTGAAGATATTTCCTTTTCTACCATAGCCCTCAAAGGGCTCCAATTATTCACTTGCAGATTCTACAAAAAGAGTGTTTCAAAACTGCTCAATCAAAAGAAACTTTCAACACTGTGAGATGAATGCAAACATCAAAAAGAAGTATCTCAGAATGGTTCTATGTAGTTTTTACGTGAAGATATTTCCTTTTCCACAATAGGCCTCAAAGGGCTCCAAATATCAACTTACAGTTTCTACAAAAAGAGTGTTTCAAATCTGCTCAATCAAAAGAAAGTTTCAACTCTGTGAGTTGAATGCACACATCGCAAAAAAGTTTCTCAGAAAGCTTCTGTGTAGCTTTTATCTGAAGATATTTGCTTTTCCACGGTAGGCCTCAAAGCGCTCCAAATATCCAGTTGCAGATTCTGCAAAAAGAGAGATTCAAAACTGCTCAATAATAAGATAGTTTCAACTCTGTGAGTTGAATGCATACATCACAAAGAAGTTTCTATGAATGCT
>NC_000022.11:13227412-13248082 GCF_000001405.40 Homo sapiens | reverse complement strand
TCTTTCTAGTTTTTATATGAAGATATTCCCGTGTCCAACAAAGGCCTCCAATCAGTCCAAATATCCACTGGCAGATTCTACGAAGAGTGTTTCAAAACTGCTCTATGAAAAGGGACGTTCAACTCTGTGAGTTCAATGCAAACATCACAGCGGAGATTCTGAAAATGCTTCTGTCCTGTTTTTATGTGAAGATATTTCCTTTTCCACCATAGGCCTCAAAGCTCTCCAAATCACCACTTGCAGATGCTACAAAAACAGTGTTTCAAAACTGCCCTATCAAAATAAAGGTTAACACAGTGAGTTGAATGCAATCATCACAAAGTCGTTGCTGAGAATGCTTCTGTCTCGTTTTCATGTGAAGATATTCTCGTTTACAATGAAGGCCTCAAAGCATTCCAAATATACACTTGCAGATTCTACGAAAAGAGTGCTTCAAAACAGCTCTATGAAAAGGTGTGTTCAACTCTGTGAGTTGAATGCAAACGTCACAAAGAAGTTTCTGAGAATCTTTGTGTCTGGTTTTTATGTGAAGATATTTCCTTTTCCACCGTAGGCCTCAAAGCTCTCCAAATGTCCACTGGCAGATTCTACAAAAACGGTTTTTCAAAACTGCTCTATCAATAGAAAGCTTCAACTCTGAGAGTTGAATTCACACATCACAAAGAAGTTTCTGAGAATGCTTCTGTTTCGTTTTTATGTGAAGATTTTCCCATTTCCAACGAAGGCCTCAAAGCCGTCCAAATATCCATTTGCAGATTCTACGAAAAGTGTGTTTCAAAACTTCTCTATGAAAAGGTATGTTTAATTCTGTGAGTTGAATGCAACCATCACAAAGAAGTTTCTGAGAATCCTTCTGTCTAGTTTTTATGTGAAGATATTTCCTTCTCCACCACAGGCCTCGAAGCTCTGAAAATTTCCACATGCAGATTCTAAAAAAACAGTGCTTCAAAACAGCTCTATCAAAAGAAAGGTTCAGCTCTGTGAGTTGAATGCACACATCACAAAGAAGGCTCTGAGAATGCTTCTCTCTAGTTTTTATGTGAAGATATTCCCGTTTACAAAGAAGGCCTCAAAGCACTCAATATATCCACTTGCAGATTCTAAAAAAACAGTGCTTCAAAACAGCTCTATCAAAAGAAAGGTTCAGCTCTGTAAGTTGAATGCACACATCACAAAGACGGCTCTGAGAATGCTTCTGTCTAGTTTTTATGTGAAGATATTCCCGTTTACAAAGAAGGCCTCAAAGCACTCCATATATCAACTTACAGATTCTACAAAAAGAGTGTTTCAAAACTGCTCTGTGAAAAGGTATGTTCAACTCTGTGGGTTGAATGCAAACAATACAAAGAAGTTTCTGAGAATGCTTCCATCTGGTTTTTATGTGAAGGTATTTCCTTTTCCACCACAGGCCTCAAAGCTTTCCAAATGTCCACTTGCAGATTCTACAAAAAGAGTGTTTAAAAACTGCTCTATCAAAAGGAAGATTCAACTCTTTGTGTTGAATGTGCAGATCACAAAGAAGTTTCTGAGAATGCTTCTGTCTAGTTTTTATGTGGAGATATTCCCGTTTCCAACGAAGGCCTCTAAGCAGTACAAATATCCACTTTGCAGATTTTGCGAAAAGAGTGTTTCCAAACTGCTCTATCAACAGAAAGGTTCAACTTCTGTGAGTTGAATGCACACATCACAAAGAAATTTCCCAGAATTCTTCTGTCTAGTTCTTATGTGAAGATATTCCCGTTTCCGACGAAGGCCTCAAAGCAGTCCAAATATCCACTTGCAGATTCTACGAAACGAGTGTTTCAAAACTGCTCTATGACAAGGTATGTTCAAATCTGTGATTTGAATGCACACATCACAAAGAACTTTCTGAGAATGCATCTGTCTAGTTTTTATGTAAAGATATTCCTGTTTCCAAAGAAAACCTAAAAGCAGTCCAAATATCCACTTGCAGATTCTACGAAAAGAGTGTTTCAAAACTCCTCTATGAAAAGGTATTTTCAACTTTGTGAGTTGAATGCAAACAGCACAAAGAAGTTTCTCAGAATGCTTCTGTCTGGTTTTTATGTGAAGATATTTTCTTTCTCACCATAGGCCTCAAAGCTCTCCAAATGTCCACTTGCAGATTCTTCAAAAAGAGTGTTTCAAGACTGGTCTATGAAAAGAAAGGTTCAAGTACTGTGAGTTGAATGCCCACATCACAAAGAAGTTTCTGAGAATGCTTTTGTCTAGTTTTTATTTGAAGATATTCACATTTCCAACGAAGGCCTGAAAGCGTTCCAATTATCCATTTGCATATTCTACCAAAAGAGTTTTCCAAAACTGCTCTATGAAAAGGTATGTCCATCTCTGTGAGTTGAATGCAAACCTAACAAAGTAGGTACTGAGAATGATTCTGTCTAGTTTTCATGGGAAGGTATTTCCATTTCCACCATATGCTTCAAAAGTCTCCAAATGTCCACTTGCAGATTCTATAAAAACAGTGTTTCAAAACTGCTCTATCAAAAGAAATGTTCAACTCTCTGAGTTGAATGCCCACATCACAAAGGTGTTTCCGAGAATGCTTCTGTCTAGTTTTTATGTGAAGATATTCCCGTTTCCAACGAGGTCCTTAAAGCAGTCCAAATATCCTCTTGCAGATTCTACAAAAAGAGTGTTTCAAAACTGCTCTACGAAAAGTTATTTTCAACTCTGTGAGTTGAATGCAAATATCACAAAGATGTTTTTGAGAATGCTTCTGTCCAGTTTTTATGTGAAGATATTTCCTTTTCCACTGTAGGCCTCAAAGCTCTCTTGGCTTTGCACTTGCAGATTCTACAAAAAGAATGTTTCAAACTGCTCCTTCAAAAGAGTGGTTCAGCTCTGTGAGTTGAATGGCCTCATCACAAAGAAGTTTCTGAGAATGCTTCTGTCTAATTTTTATGTTAAGATATTTCTGTTTCCACTGAAGGCCTCAAAGCAGTCCAAATATCCCCTTGCAGATACTACGGAAAGAGTTTTTCAAAACTGCGCTATGAAAAGGTATTTCATCTCTGTGACTTGAATGCAAACATCACAAGAAGTTTCTGAAAATGCTTCTGTCTTCTTTTTATGTGAAGGTATATCATTTTCCACCATAGGCCTCAAAGCTTCCCAAATGTCCACTTGCAGATTCTACAAAAAGTCTGTTTCAAAACTGCTCTATCAAAAGAAAAGTTCAACTCTCTGAGTTGAATGCACATATCACAAAGAAGTTTCTGAGAATTCTTCTTTCTATATTTTATGTGAAGGTATTCCCGTTTCCAACAAAGGCCTCAAATCAGTCCAAATATCCACTTGTGGATTCTACGAAAAGAGTGTTTCAAAACTGCTCTATGAAAAGGTATGTTCAACTCTGTGAGTTGAATGCAAACTTCACAGAGGAGATTCTGAGAATGCTTCTGTCCAGTTTTTATGTGGAGATATTTCCTTTTCCACCATAGGCCTCAAAGCTCTCCAAATGACCACTTGCAGATGCTACAAAAACAGTGTTTCAAAACTGTTCTATGAAAATAAAGGTTAACACTGTGAGTTGAATGCAAACATCGCAAAGAAGTTTCTGAAAATGCTTCTGTCTGGTTTATATGTGAAGGTATATCATTTTCCACCATAGGCCTCAAAGCTCTCCAAAAGAACACTTGCAGATGCTACCAAAACAGTGTTTACAAACTGCCCTATCAAAATAAAGGTTAACACAGTGAGTTGAATGCAATCATCACAAAGTAGTTGCTGAGAATGCTTCTTTCTAGTTTTTATATGAAGATATTCCCGTGTCCAACAAAGGCCTCAAATCAGTCCAAATATCCACTGGCAGATTCTACGAAGAGTGTTTCAAAACTGCTCTATGAAAGGGGACGTTCAACTCTGTGAGTTCAATGCAAACATCACAGCGGAGATTCTGAAAATGCTTCTGTCCTGTTTTTATGTGAAGATATTTCTTTTTCCACCATAGGCCTCAAAGCTCTCCAAATGACCACTTGCAGATGCTACAAAAACAGTGTTTCAAAACTGCCCTATCAAAATAAAGGTTAACACAGTGAGTTGAATGCAATCATCACAAAGTAGTTGCTGAGAATGCTTCTGTCTCGTTTTTATGTGAAGATATTCTCGTTTACAATGAAGGCCTCAAAGCAGTCCAAATATACACTTGCAGATTCTACGAAAAGAGTGTTTCAAAACTGCTCTATGAAAAGGTATGTTCAACTCTCTTCGTTGAATGCAAACATCACAAAGAAGTTTCTGAGAATTCTTGTGTCTGGTTTTTATGTGAAGATATTTCCTTTTCCACCGCAGGCTTCCAAGCTCTCCAAATGTCCACTGACAGATTCTACAAAAACGGTTTTTCAAAATTGCTCTATCAATAGAAACCTTCAACTCTGAGAGTTGAATTCAAACATCACAAAGAAGTTTCTGAGAATGCTTCCGTCTAGTTTTTATGTGAAGATATTCCTCTTTCCAACGAAGGCCTCAAAGCAGTCCAAATATCCATTTGCAGATCCTACGAAAAGAGTGTTTCAAAACTGCTCTATGAAAAGGTATGTTCAACTCTGTGAGTTGAATGCAAACGTCACAAACAAATTTCTGAGAATGCTTCTGTCTAGTTTTTATGTGAAGATATTTCCTTCTCCACCACAGGCCTCGAAGCTCTGAAAATTTCCACATGCAGATTCTAAAAAAACAGTGCTTCAAAACAGCTCTATCAAAAGAAAGGTTCAGCTCCGTGAGTTGAATGCACACATCACAAAGAAGGTTCTGAGAATGCTTCTCTCTAGTTTTTATGTGAAGATATTCCCGTTTACAAAGAAGGCCTCAAAGCACTCCATATATCCACTTGCAGATTCTAAAAAAACAGTGCTTCAAAACAGCTCTATCAAAAGAAAGGTTCAGCTCTGTGAGTTGAATGCACACATCACAAAGAAGGCTCTGAGAATGCTTCTCTCTAGTTTTTATGTGAAGATATTCCCGTTTAAAAAGAAGGCCTCAAAGCACTCCATATATCCACTTGCAGATTCTACAAAAAGAGTGTTTCAAAACTGCTCTGTGAAAAGGTATGTTCAACTCTGTGGGTTGAATGCAAACAATACAAAGAAGTTTCTGAGAATGCTTCCATCTGGTTTTTATGTGAAGGTATTTCCTTTTCCACCACAGGCCTGAAAGCTTTCCAAATGTCCACTTGCAGATTCTACAAAAAGAGTGTTTAAAAACTGCTCTGTGAAAAGGTATGTTCAACTCTGTGGGTTGAATGCAAACAATACAAGGAAGTTTCTGAGAATGCTTCTGTCTAGTTTTTATGTGGAGATATTCCCGTTTCCAACGAAGGCCTCTAAGCAGTACAAATATCCACTCTGCAGATTTTGCGAAAAGAGTGTTTCCAAACTGCTCTATCAACAGAAAGGTTCAACTCTGTGAGTTGAATGCACACATCACAAAGAAATTTCCCAGAATTCTTCTGTCTAGTTCTTATGTGAAGATATTCCCGTTTCCGATGAAGGCCTCAAAGCAGTCCAAATATCCACTTGCAGATTCTACGAAACGAGTGTTTCAAAACTGCTCTATGACAAGGTATGTTCAAATCTGTGAGTTGAATGCACACATCACAAAGAACTTTCTGAGAATGCATCTGTCTAGTGTTTATGTAAAGATATTCCTGTTTCCAAAGAAAACCTAAAAGCAGTCCAAATATCCACTTGCAGATTCTACGAAAAGAGTGTTTCAAAACTCCTCTATGAAAAGGTATTTTCAACTTTGTGAGTTGAATGCAAACAGCACAAAGAAGTTTCTCAGAATGCTTCTGTCTGGTTTTTATGTGGAGATATTTTCTTTCTCACCATAGGCCTCAAAGCTCTCCAAATGTCCATTTGCAGATTCTTCAAAAAGAGTGTTTCAAGACTGCTCTATGAAAAGAAAGGTTCAAGTCTGTGAGTTGAATGCCCACATCACAAAGAAGTTTCTGAGAATGCTTTTGTCTAGTTTTTATTTGAAGATATTCACATTTCCAACGAAGGCCTGAAAGCGTTCCAATTATGCATTTGCATATTCTACCAAAAGAGTTTTCCAAAACTGCTCTATGAAAAGGTATGTCCATCTCTGTGAGTTGAATGCAAACATAACAAAGTAGGTACTGAGAATGTTTCTGTCTAGTTTTCATGGGAAGGTATTTCCATTTCCACCATATGCTTCAAAAGTCTCCAAATGTCCACTTGCAGATTCTATAAAAACAGTGTTTCAAAACTGCTCTATCAAAAGAAAGGTTCAACTCTCTGTGTTGAATGCCCCCATCACAAAGGTGTTTCGGAGAATGCTTCTCTCTAGTTTTTATGTGAAGATATTCCCGTTTCCAACGAGGTCCTTAAAGCAGTCCAAATATCCTCTTGCAGATTCTACAAAAAGAGTGTTTCAAAACTGCTCTACGAAAAGTTATTTTCAACTCTGTGAGTTGAATGCAAATATCACAAAGATGTTTTTGAGAATGCTTCTGTTCAGTTTTTATGTGAAGATATTTCCTTTTCCACTGTAGGCCTCAAAGCTCTCTTGGCTTTGCACTTGCAGATTCTACAAAAAGAATGTTTCAAACTGCTCCTTCAAAAGAGTGGTTCAGCTCTGTGAGTTGAATGGCCTCATCACAAAGAAGTTTCTGAGAATGCTTCTGTCTAATTTTTATGTTAAGATATTTCTGTTTCCACTGAAGGCCTCAAAGCAGTCCAAATATCCCCTTGCAGATACTACGGAAAGAGTTTTTCAAAACTGCGCTATGAAAAGGTATTTCATCTCTGTGAGTTGAATGCAAACATCACAAAGAAGTTTCTGAAAATGCTTCTGTCTTCTTTTTATGTGAAGGTATATCATTTTCCACCATAGGCCTCAAAGCTTCCCAAATGTCCACTTGCAGATTCTACAAAAAGTCTGTTTCAAAACTGCTCTATCGAAAGAAAAGTTCAACTCTCTGAGTTGAATGCACATATCACAAAGAAGTTTCTGAGAATTCTTCTTTCTAGATTTTATGTGAAGGTATTCCCGTTTCCAACAAAGGCCTCAAATCAGTCCAAATATCCACTTGTGGATTCTACGAAAAGAGTGTTTCAAAACTGCTCTATGAAAAGGTATGTTCAACTGAGTGAGTTGAATGCAAACATCACAGAGGAGATTCTGAGAATGCTTCTGTCCAGTTTTTATGTGGAGATATTTCCTTTTCCACCATAGGCCTCAAAGCTCTCCAAATGACCACTTGCAGATGCTACAAAAACAGTGTTTCAAAACTGTTCTATGAAAATAAAGGTTAACACTGTGAGTTGAATGCAATCATCACAAATTAGTTGCTGAGAATGCTTCTGTCTGGTTTTTATGTGAAGGTATATCATTTTCCACCATAGGCCTCAAAGCTTCCCAAATGTCCACTTGCAGATTCTGCAAAAAGTCTGTTGCAAAACTGCTCTATCAAAAGAAAAGTTCAACTCTCTGAGTTGAATGCACACATCACAAAGAAGTTTCTGAGAATTCTTCTTTCTAGTTTTTATATGAAGATATTCCCGTGTCCAACAAAGGCCTCCAATCAGTCCAAATATCCACTGGCAGATTCTACGAAAAGTGTTTCAAAACTGCTCTATGAAAGGGGACGTTCAACTCTGTGAGTTCAATGCAAACATCACAGCGGAGATTCTGAAAATGTTTCTGTCTGGTTTATATGTGAAGGTATATCATTTTCCACCATAGGCCTCAAAGCTCTCCAAATGAACACTTGCAGATGCTACCAAAACAGTGTTTACAAACTGCCCTATCAAAATAAAGGTTAACACAGTGAGTTGAATGCAATCATCACAAAGTAGTTGCTGAGAATGCTTCTGTCTCGTTTTCATGTGAAGATATTGTCGTTTACAATGAAGGCCTCAAAGCATTCCAAATATACACTTGCAGATTCTACGAAAAGAGTGCTTCAAAACTGCTCTATGAAAAGGTGTGTTCAACTCTGTGAGTTGAATGCAAACGTCACAAAGAAGTTTCTGAGAATCTTTGTGTCTGGTTTTTATGTGAAGATATTTCCTTTTCCACCGTAGGCCTCCAAGCTCTCCAAATGTCCACTGGCAGATTCTACAAAAACGGTTTTTCAAAACTGCTCTATCAATAGAAAGCTTCAACTCTGTGAGTTGAATTCACACATCACAAACAAGTTTCTGAGAATGCTTCCGTCTAGTTTTTATGTGAAGATATTCCTCTTTCCAACGAAGGCCTCAAAGCAGTCCAAATATCCATTTGCAGATCCTACGAAAAGAGTGTTTCAAAACTGCTCTATGAAAAGGTATGTTCAACTCTGTGAGTTGAATGCAAACGTCACAAACAAGTTTCTGAGAATGCTTCTGTCTAGTTTCTATGTGAAGATATTTCCTTCTCCACCACAGGCCTCGAAGCTCTGAAAATTTCCACATGCAGATTCTAAAAAAACAGTGCTTCAAAACAGCTCTATCAAAAGAAAGGTTCAGCTCTGTGAGTTGAATGCACACATCACAAAGAAGGCTCTGAGAATGCTTCTCTCTAGTTTTTATGTGAAGATATTCCCGTTTACAAAGAAGGCCTCAAAGCACTCAATATATTCACTTGCAGATTCTAAAAAAACAGTGCTTCAAAACAGCTCTATCAAAAGAAAGGTTCAGCTCTGTGAGTTGAATGCACACATCACAAAGAAGGCTCTGAGAATGCTTCTCTCTAGTTTTTATGTGAAGATATTCCCGTTTACAAAGAAGGCCTCAAAGCACTCCATATATCCACTTGCAGATTCTACAAAAAGAGTGTTTCAAAACTGCTCTGTGAAAAGGTATGTTCAACTCTGTGGGTTGAATGCAAACAATACAAAGAAGTTTCTGAGAATGCTTCCATCTGGTTTTTATGTGAAGGTATTTCCTTTTCCACCACAGGCCTCAAAGCTTTCCAAATGTCCACTTGCAGATTCTACAAAAAGAGTGTTTAAAAACTGCTCTGTGAAAAGGTATGTTCAACTCTGTGGGTTGAATGCAAACAATACAAAGAAGTTTCTGAGAATGCTTCTGTCTAGTTTTTATGTGGAGATATTCCCGTTTCCAACGAAGGCCTCTAAGCAATACAAATATCCACTTTGCAGATTTTGCGAAAAGAGTGTTTCCAAACTGCTCTATCAACAGAAAGTTTCAACTCTGTGAGTTGCATGCACACATCACAAAGAAATTTCCCAGAATTCTTCTGTCTAGTTCTTATGTGAAGATATTCCCGTTTCCGACGAAGGCCTCAAAGCAGTCCAAATATCCACTTGCAGATTCTACGAAACGAGTGTTTCAAAACTGCTCTATGACAAGATATGTTCAAATCTGTGAGTTGAATGCACACATCACAAAGAACTTTCTGAGAATGCATCTGTCTAGTGTTTATGTAAAGATATTCCTGTTTCCAAAGAAAACCTAAAAGCAGTCCAAATATCCACTTGCAGATTCTATGAAAAGAGTGTTTCAAAACTCCTCTATGAAAAGGTATTTTCAACTTTGTGAGTTGAATGCAAACAGCACAAAGAAGTTTCTCAGAATGCTTCTGTCTGGCTTTTATGTGAAGATATTTTCTTTCTCACCATAGGCCTCAAAGCTCTCCAAATGTCCACTTGCCGATTCTTCAAAAAGAGTGTTTCAAGACTGCTCTATGAAAAGAAAGGTTCAAGTCTGTGAGTTGAATGCCCACATCACAAAGAAGTTTCTGAGAATGCTTTTGTCTAGTTTTTATTTGAAGATATTCACATTTCCAACGAAGGCCTGAAAGCGTTCCAATTATCCATTTGCATATTCCACCAAAAGAGTTTTCCAAAACTGCTCTATGAAAAGGTATGTCCATCTCTGTGAGTTGAATGCAAACATAACAAAGTAGGTACTGAGAATGTTTCTGTCTAGTTTTCATGGGAAGGTATTTCCATTTCCACCATATGCTTCAAAAGTCTCCAAATGTCCACTTGCAGATTCTATAAAAACAGTGTTTCAAAACAGCTCTATCAAAAGAAAGGTTCAACTCTCTGAGTTGAATGCCCACATCACAAAGGTGTTTCTGAGAATGCTTCTGTCTAGTTTTTATGTGAAGATATTCCCGTTTCCAACGAGGTCCTTAAAGCAGTCCAAATATCCTCTTGCAGATTCTACAAAAAGAGTGTTTCAAAACTGCTCTATGAAAAGTTATTTTCAACTCTGTGAGTTGAATGCAAATATCACAAAGATGTTTTTGAGAATGCTTCTGTCCAGTTTTTATGTGAAGATATTTCCTTCTCCACTGTAGGCCTCAAAGCTCTCTTGGCTTTGCACTTGCAGATTCTACAAAAAGAATGTTTCAAACTGCTCCTTCAAAAGACTGGTTCAGCTCTGTGAGTTGAATGGCCTCATCACAAAGAAGTTTCTGAGAATGCTTCTGTCTAATTTTTATGTTAAGATATTTCTGTTTCCACTGAAGGCCTCAAAGCAGTCCAAATATCCCCTTGCAGATACTACGAAAAGAGGTTTTCAAAACTGCGCTATGAAAAGGTATTTCATCTCTGTGACTTGAATGCAAACATCACAAAGAAGTTTCTGAAAATGCTTCTGTCTTCTTTTTATGTGAAGGTATATCATTTTCCACCATAGGCCTCAAAGCTTCCCAAATGTCCACTTGCAGATTCTGCAAAAAGTCTGTTTCAAAACTGCTCTATCAAAAGAAAAGTTCAACTCTCTGAGTTGAATGCACACATCACAAAGAAGTTTCTGAGAATTCTTCTTTCTAGATTTTATGTGAAGGTATTCCCGTTTCCAACAAAGGCCTCAAATCAGTCCAAATATCCACTTGTGGATTCTACGAAAAGAGTGTTTCAAAACTGCTCTATGAAAAGGTATGTTCAACTCTGTGAGTTGAATGCAAACATCACAGAGGAGATTCTGAGAATGCTTCTGTCCAGTTTTTATGTGGAGATATTTCCTTTTCCACCATAGGCCTCAAAGCTCTCCAAATGACCACTTGCAGATGCTACAAAAACAGTGTTTCAAAACTGTTCTATGAAAATAAAGGTTAACACTATGAGTTGAATGCAAACATCGCAAAGAAGTTTCTGAAAATGCATCTGTCTGGTTTTTATGTGAAGGTATATCATTTTCCACCATAGGCTTCAAAGCTTCCCAAATGTCCACTTGCAGATTCCGCAAAAAGTCTGTTTCAAAACTGCTCTATCAAAAGAAAAGTTCAACTGCTGCTGAGTTGAATGCACACATCACAAAGAAGTTTCTGAGAATTCTTCTTTCTAGTTTTTATATGAAGATATTCCCGTGTCCAACAAAGGCCTCCAATCAGTCCAAATATCCACTGGCAGATTCTACGAAGAGTGTTTCAAAACTGCCCTATGAAAAGGGACGTTCAACTCTGTGAGTTGAATGCAAACATCACAGCGGAGATTCTGAAAATGCTTCTGTCCTGTTTTTATGTGAAGATATTTCCTTTTCCACCATAGGCCTCAAAGCTCTCCAAATGACCACTTGCAGATGCTACAAAAACAGTGTTTCCAAACTGCCCTATCAAAATAAAGGTTAACACAGTGAGTTGAATGCAATCATCACAAAGTAGTTGCTGAGAATGCTTCTGTCTCGTTTTTATGTGAAGATATTCTCGTTTACAATGAAGGCCTCAAAGCATTCCAAATATACACTTGCAGATTCTACGAAAAGACTGCTTCAAAACTGCTCTATGAAAAGGTGTGTTCAACTCTGTGAGTTGAATGCAAACGTCACAAAGAAGTTTCTGAGAATCTTTGTGTCTGGTTTTTATGTGAAGATATTTCCTTTTCCACCGTAGGCCTCAAAGCTCTCCAAATATCCACTGGCAGATTCTACAAAAACGGTTTTTCAAAACTGCTCTATCAATAGAAAGCTTCAACTCTGTGAGTTGAATTCACACATCACAAAGAAGTTTCTGAGAATGCTTCCTTCTAGTTTTTATGTGAAGATATTCCTCTTTCCAACGAAGGCCTCAAAGCAGTCCAAATATCCATTTGCAGATCCTACGAAAAGAGTGTTTCAAAACTGCTCTATGAAAAGGTATGTTCAACTCTGTGAGTTGAATGCAAACGTCACAAACAAGTTTCTGAGAATGCTTCTGTCTAGTTTTTATGTGAAGATATTTCCTTCTCCACCACAGGCCTCGAAGCTCTGAAAATTTCCACATGCAGATTCTAAAAAAACAGTGCTTCAAAACAGCTCTATCAAAAGAAAGGTTCAGCTCCGTGAGCTGAATGCACACATCACAAAGAAGGCTCTGAGAATGCTTCTCTCTAGTTTTTATGTGAAGATATTCCCGTTTACAAAGAAGGCCTCAAAGCACTCAATATATCCACTTGCAGATTCTAAAAAAACAGTGCTTCAAAACAGCTCTATCAAAAGAAAGGTTCAGCTCTGTGAGTTGAATGCACACATCACAAAGAAGGCTCTGAGAATGCTTCTCTCTAGTTTTTATGTGAAGATATTCCCGTTTACAAAGAAGGCCTCAAAGCACTCCATATATCAACTTACAGATTCTACAAAAGGAGTGTTTCAAAACTGCTCTGTGAAAAGGTATGTTCAACTCTGTGGGTTGAATGCAAACAATACAAAGAAGTTTCTGAGAATGCTTCCATCTGGTTTTTATGTGAAGGTATTTCCTTTTCCACCACAGGCCTCAAAGCTTTCCAAATGTCCACTTGCAGATTCTACAAAAAGAGTGTTTAAAAACTGCTCTCTCAAAAGGAAGATTCAACTCTTTGTGTTGAATGTGCAGATCACAAAGAAGTTTCTGAGAATGCTTCTGTCTAGTTTTTATGTGGAGACATTCCCGTTTCCAACGAAGGCCTCTAAGCAGTACAAATATCCACTCTGCAGATTTTGCCAAAAGAGTGTTTCCAAACTGCTCTATCAACAGAAAGGTTCAACTCTGTGAGTTGGATGCACACATCACAAAGAAATTTCCCAGAATTCTTCTGTCTAGTTCTTATGTGAAGATATTCCCGTTTCCGACGAAGGCCTCAAAGCAGTCCAAATATCCACTTGCAGATTCTACGAAACGAGTGTTTCAAAACTGCTCTATGACAAGGTATGTTCAAATCTGTGAGTTGAATGCACACATCACAAAGAACTTTCTGAGAATGCATCTGTCTAGTTTTTATGTAAAGATATTCCTGTTTCCAAAGAAAACCTAAAAGCAGTCCAAATATCCACTTGCAGATTCTACGAAAAGAGTGTTTCAAAACTCCTCTATGAAAAGGTATTTTCAACTTTGTGAGTTGAATGCAAACAGCACAAAAAAGTTTCTCAGAATGCTTCTGTCTGGTTTTTATGTGAAGATATTTTCTTTCTCACCATAGGCCTCAAAGCTCTCCAAATGTCCACTTGCCGATTCTTCAAAAAGAGTGTTTCAAGACTGCTCTATGAAAAGAAAGGTTCAAGTCTGTGAGTTGAATGCCCACATCACAAAGAAGTTTCTGAGAATGCTTTTGTCTAGTTTTTATTTGAAGATATTCACATTTCCAACGAAGGCCTGAAAGCGTTCCAATTATCCATTTGCATATTCCACCGAAAGAGTTTTCCAAAACTGCTCTATGAAAAGGTATGTCCATCTCTGTGAGTTGAATGCAAACATAACAAAGTAGGTAATGAGAATGTTTCTATCTAGTTTTTATGTGAGGCTATTTCCTTTTCCACCGTAGGCCTCAAAGCTCTCCAAATGTCCACTTGCAGATTGTACAAAGTAAGTGCTTCAAAACTGCTCTATCAAAAGAAAGGTTCAAATCTCTGAGTTGAATGCCCACATCAAAAAAGGTGTTTCTGAGAATGCTTCTGTCTACTTTTTATGTGAAGATATTCCCGTTTCCAACGAGGTCCTTAAAGCAGTCCAAATATCCTCTTGCAGATTCTACAAAAAGAGTGTTTCAAAACTGCTCTACGAAAAGTTATTTTCAACTCTGTGAGTTGAATGCAAATATCACAAAGATGTTTTTGAGAATGCTTCTGTCCAGTTTTTATGTGAAGATATTTCCTTTTCCACTGTAGGCCTCAAAGCTCTCTTGGCTTTGCACTTGCAGATTCTACAAAAACAATGTTTCAAACTGCTCCTTCAAAAGAGTGGTTCAGCTCTTTGAGTTGAATGGCCTCATCACAAAGAAGTTTGTGAGAATGCTTCTGTCTAATTTTTATGTTAAGATATTTCTGTTTCCACTGAAGGCCTCAAAGCAGTCCAAATATCCCCTTGCAGATACTACGAAAAGAGTTTTTCAAAACTGCGCTATGAAAAGGTATTTCATCTCTGTGAGTTGAATGCAAACATCACAAAGAAGTTTCTGAAAATGCTTCTGTCTTCTTTTTATGTGAAGGTATATCATTTTCCACCATAGGCCTCAAAGCTTCCCAAATGTCCACTTGCAGATTCTACAAATGTCTGTTTCAAAACTGCTCTATCAAAACAAAAGTTCAACTCTCTGAGTTGAATGCACATATCACAAAGAAGTTTCTGAGAATTCTTCTTTCTAGATTTTATGTGAAGGTATTCCCGTTTCCAACAAAGGCCTCAAATCAGTCCAAATATCCACTTGTGGATTCTACGAAAGGAGTGTATCAAAACTGCTCTATGAAAAGGTATGTTCAACTCTGTGAGTTGAATGCAAACATCACAGAGGAGATTCTGAGAATGCTTCTGTCCAGTTTTTATGTGGAGATATTTCCTTTTCCACCATAGGCCTCAAAGCTCTCCAAATGACCACTTGCAGATGCTACAAAAAGAGTGTTTCAAAAATGTTCTATGAAAATAAAGGTTAACACTGTGAGTTGAATGCAAACATCGCAAAGAAGTTTCTGAAAATGCTTCTGTCTGGTTTCTATGTGAAGGTATATCATTTTCCACCATAGGCCTCAAAGCTTCCCAAATGTCCACTTGCAGATTCTGCAAAAAGTCTGTTTCAAAACTGCTCTATCAAAAGAAAAGTTCAACTCTCTGAGTTGAATGCACACATCACAAAGAAGTTTCTGAGAATTCTTCTTTCTAGTTTTTATATGAAGATACTCCCGTGTCCAACAAAGGCCTCAAATCAGTCCAAATATCCACTGGCAGATTCTACGAAGAGTGTTTCAAAACTGCTCTATGAAAAGGGACGTTCAACTGTGTGAGTTCCATGCAAACATCAGAGCGGAGATTCTGAAAATGCTTCTGTCCTGTTTTTATGTGAAGATATTTCCTTTTCCACCATAGGCCTCAAAGCTCTCCAAATGACCACTTGCAGATGCTACAAAAACAGTGTTTCAAAACTGCCCTATCAAAATAAAGGTTAACACAGTGAGTTGAATGCAATCATCACAAAGTAGTTGCTGAGAATGCTTCTGTCTCGTTTTTATGTGAAGATATTCTCGTTTACAATGAAGGCCTCAAAGCATTCCAAATATACACTTGCAGATTCTACGAAAAGACTGCTTCAAAACTGCTCTATGAAAAGGTGTGTTCAACTCTGTGAGTTGAGTGCAAGCGTCACAAAGAAGTTTCTGAGAATCTTTGTGTCTGGTTTTTATGTGAAGATATTTCCTTTTCCACCGTAGGCCTCCAAGCTCTCCAAATGTCCACTGGCAGATTCTACAAAAAACGGTTTTTCAAAACTGCTCTATCAATAGAAAGCTTCAACTCTGTGAGTTGAATTCACACATCACAAAGAAGTTTCTGAGAATGCTTCCGTCTAGTTTTTATGTGAAGATATTCCTCTTTCCAACGAAGGCCTCAAAGCAGTCCAAATATCCATTTGCAGATCCTACGAAAAGAGTGTTTCAAAATTGCTCTATGAAAAGGTATGTTCAACTCTGTGAGTTGAATGCAAACGTCACAAACAAGTTTCTGAGAATGCTTCTGTCTAGTTTTTATGTGAAGATATTTCCTTCTCCACCACAGGCCTCGAAGCTCTGAAAATTTCCACATGCAGATTCTATAAAAACAGTGCTTCAAAACAGCTCTATCAAAAGAAAGGTTCAGCTCTGTGAGTTGAATGCACACATCACAAAGAAGGCTCTGAGAATGCTTCTCTCTAGTTTTTATGTGAAGATATTCCCGTTTACAAAGAAGGCCTCAAAGCACTCCATATATCCACCTGCAGATTCTAAAAAAACAGTGCTTCAAAACAGCTCTATCAAAAGAAAGGTTCAGCTCTGTGAGTTGAATGCACACATCACAAAGAAGGCTCTGAGAATGCTTCTCTCTAGTTTTTATGTGAAGATATTCCCGTTTACAAAGAAGGCCTCAAACCACTCCGTATATCCACTTGCAGATTCTACAAAAAGAGTGTTTCAAAACTGCTCTGTGAAAAGGTATGTTCAACTCTGTGGGTTGAATGCAAACAATACAAAGAAGTTTCTGAGAATGCTTCCATCTGGTTTTTATGTGAAGGTATTTCCTTTTCCACCACAGGCCTCAAAGCTTTCCAAATGTCCACTTGCAGATTCTACAAAAAGAGTGTTTAAAAACTGCTCTATCAAAAGGAAGACTCAACTCTTTGTGTTGAATGTGCAGATCACAAAGAAGTTTCTGAGAATGCTTCTGTCTAGTTTTTATGTGGAGATATTCCCGTTTCCAACGAAGGCCTCTAAGCAGTACAAATATCCACTTTGCAGATTTTGCGAAAAGAGTGTTTCCAAACTGCTCTATCAACAGAAAGGTTCAACTCTGTGAGTTGAATGCACACATCACAAAGAAATTTCCCAGAATTCTTCTGTCTAGTTCTTATGTGAAGATATTCCCGTTTCCGACGAAGGCCTCAAAGCAGTCCAAATATCCACTTGCAGATTCTACGAAACGAGTGTTTCAAAACTGCTCTATGACAAGGTATGTTCATATCTGTGAGTTGAATGCACACATCACCAACAACTTTCTGAGAATGCATCTGTCTAGTTTTTATGTAAAGATATTCCTGTTTCCAAAGAAAACCTAAAAGCAGTCCAAATATCCACTTGCAGATTGTACGAAAAGAGTGTTTCAAAACTCCTCTATGAAAAGGTATTTTCAACTTTGTGAGTTGAATGCAAACAGCACAAAGAAGTTTCTCAGAATGCTTCTGTCTGGTTTTTATGTGAAGATATTTTCTTTCTCACCATAGGCCTCAAAGCTCTCCAAATGTCCACTTGCTGATTCTTCAAAAAGAGTGTTTCAAGACTGCTCTATGAAAGGAAAGGTTCAAGCCTGTGAGTTGAATGCCCACATCACAAAGAAGTTTCTGAGAATGCTTTTGTCTAGTTTTTATTTGAAGATATTCACATTTCCAACGAAGGCCTGAAAGCGTTCCAATTATCCATTTGCATATTCTACCAAAAGAGTTTTCCAAAACTGCTCTATGAAAAGGTATGTCCATCTCTGTGAGTTGAATGCAAACATAACAAAGTAGGTACTGAGAATGTTTCTGTCTAGTTTTCATGGGAAGGTATTTCCATTTCCACCATATGCTTCAAAAGTCTCCAAATGTCCACTTGCAGATTCTATAAAAACAGTGTTTCAAAACTGCTCTATCAAAAGAAAGGTTCAACTCTCTGAGTTGAATGCCCACATCACAAAGGTGTTTCTGAGAATGCTTCTGTCTAGTTTTTATGTGAAGATATTCCCGTTTCCAACGAGGTCCTTAAAGCAGTCCAAATATCCTCTTGCAGATTCTACAAAAAGAGTGTTTCAAAACTGCTCTACGAAAAGTTATTTTCAAATCTGTGAGTTGAATGCAAATATCACAAAGATGTTTTTGAGAATGCTTCTGTCCAGTTTTTATGTGAAGATATTTCTTTTTCCACTGTAGGCCTCAAAGCTCTCCAAATGTCCACTTGCAGATTCTACAAAAAGAATGTTTCAAACTGCTCCTTCAAAAGAGTGGTTCAGCTCTGTGAGTTGAATGGCCTCATCACAAAGAAGTTTCTGAGAATGCTTCTGTCTAATTTTTATGTTAAGATATTTCTGTTTCCACTGAAGGCCTCAAAGCAGTCCAAATATCCCCTTGCAGATACTACGAAAAGATTTTTTCAAAACTGCGCTATGAAAAGGTATTTCATCTCTGTGAGTTGAATGCAAACATCACAAAGAAGTTTCTGAAAATGCTTCTGTCTTCTTTTTATGTGAAGGTATATCATTTTCCACCATAGGCCTCAAAGCTTCCCAAATGTCCACTTGCAGATTCTACAAAAAGTCTGTTTCAAAACTGCTCTATGAAAAGAAAAGTTCAACTCTCTGAGTTGAATGCACATATCACAAAGAAGTTTCTGAGAATTCTTCTTTCTAGATTTTATGTGAAGGTATTCCCGTTTCCAACAAAGGCCTCAAATCAGTCCAAATAACCACTTGTGGATTCTACGAAAAGAGTGTTTCAAAACTGCTCTATGAAAAGGTATGTTCAACTCTGTGAGTTGAATGCAAACATCACAGAGGAGATTCTGAGAATGCTTCTGTCCAGTTTTTATGTGGAGATATTTCCTTTTCCACAATAGGCCTCAAAGCTCTCCAAATGACCACTTGCAGATGCTACAAAAACAGTGTTTCAAAACTGTTCTATGAAAATAAAGGTTAACACTGTGAGTTGAATGCAAACATCGCAAAGAAGTTTCTGAAAATGCATCTGTCTGGTTTTTATGTGAAGGTATATCATTTTCCACCATAGGCCTCAAAGCTTCCCAAATGTCCACTTGCAGATTCTGCAAAAAGTCTGTTTCAAAACTGCTCTATCAAAAGAAAAGTTCAACTCTCTGAGTTGAATGCACACATCACAAAGAAGTTTCTGAGAATTCTTCTTTCTAGTTTTTATATGAAGATATTCCCGTGTCCAACAAAGGCCTCAAATCAGTCCAAATATCCACTGGCAGATTCTACGAAGAGTGTTTCAAAACTGCTCTATGAAAAGGGACGTTCAACTCTGTGAGTTCAATGCAAACATCACAGCGGAGATTCTGAAAATGCTTCTGTCCTGTTTTTATGTGAAGATATTTCCTTTTCCACCATAGGCCTCAAAGCTCTCCAAATGACCACTTGCAGATGCTACAAAAACAGTGTTTCAAAACTGCCCTATCAAAATAAAGATTAACACAGTGAGTTGAATGCAATCATCACAAAGTAGTTGCTGAGAATTCTTCTGTCTCGTTTTTATGTGAAGATATTCTCGTTTACAATGAAGGCCTCAAAGCATTCCAAATATACACTTGCAGATTCTACGAAAAGAGTGCTTCAAAACTGCTCTATGAAAAGGTGTGTTCAACTCTGTGAGTTGAGTGCAAGCGTCACAAAGAAGTTTCTGAGAATCTTTGTGTCTGGTTTTTATGTGAAGATATTTCCTTTTCCACCGTAGGCCTCAAAGCTCTCCAAATATCCACTGGCAGATTCTACAAAAACGGTTTTTCAAAACTGCTCTATCAATAGGAAGCTTCAACTCTGTGAGTTGAATTCACACATCACAAAGAAGTTTCTGAGAATGCTTCCGTCTAGTTTTTATGTGAAGATATTCCTCTTTCCAACGAAGGCCTCAAAGCAGTCCAAATATCCACTTGCAGATCCTACGAAAAGAGTGTTTCAAAACTGCTCTATGAAAAGGTATGTTCAACTCTGTGAGTTGAATGCAAACGTCACAAACAAGTTTCTGAGAATGCTTCTGTCTA
The DNA here is from genome assembly GCF_000001405.40 of Homo sapiens. NCBI lineage: Eukaryota > Metazoa > Chordata > Mammalia > Primates > Hominidae > Homo > Homo sapiens. The sequence goes on along the minus strand of NC_000022.11, from coordinate 13,228,430 downwards.
GTTTTTATGTGAAGATATTTCCTTCTCCACCACAGGCCTCGAAGCTCTGAAAATTTCCACATGCGGATTCTAAAAAAACAGTGCTTCCAAACAGCTCTATGAAAAGAAAGGTTCAGCTCTGTGAGTTGAATGCACACATCACAAAGAAGGCTCTGAGAATGCTTCTCTCTAGTTTTTATGTGAAGATATTCCCGTTTACAAAGAAGGCCTCAAAGCACTCAATATATCCACTTGCAGATTCTAAAAAAACAGTGCTTCAAACACCTCTATCAAAAGAAAGGTTCAGCTCTGTGAGTTGAATGCACACATCACAAAGAAGGCTCTGAGAATGCTTCTCTCTAGTTTTTATGTGAAGATATTCCCGTTTACAAAGAAGGCCTCAAAGCACTCCATATATCCACTTGCAGATTCTACAAAAAGAGTGTTTCAAAACTGCTCTGTGAAAAGGTGTGTTCAACTCAGTGGGTTGAATGCAAACAATACAAAGAAGTTTCTGAGAATGCTTCCGTCTGGTTTTTATGTGAAGGTATTTCCTTTTCCACCACAGGCCTCAAAGCTTTCCAAATGTCCACTTGCAGATTCTACAAAAAGAGTGTTTAAAAACTGCTCTATCAAAAGGAAGATTCTACTCTTTGTGTTGAATGTGCAGATCACAAAGAAGTTTCTGAGAATGCTTCTGTCTAGTTTTTATGTGGAGATATTCCCGTTTCCAACGAAGGCCTCTAAGCAGTACAAATATCCACTCTGCAGATTTTGCGAAAAGAGTGTTTCCAAACTGCTCTATCAACAGAAAGGTTCAACTCTGTGAGTTGAATGCACACATCACAAAGAAATTCCCCAGAATTCTTCTGTCTAGTTCTTATGTGAAGATATTCCCGTTTCCGACGAAGGCCTCAAAGAAGTCCAAATACCCAGTTGCAGATTCTACGAAACGAGTGTTTCAAAACTGCTCTATGACAAGGTATGTTCAAATCTGTGATTTGAATGCACACATCACAAAGAACTTTCTGAGAATGCA
>NC_000022.11:13163777-13227312 GCF_000001405.40 Homo sapiens | reverse complement strand
TCTGTCTACTTTACATGTGAGGCTATTTCTTGTTCACCATAGGCCTCAAGCAGCTAAGAAATTTCCCTCTGCAGCTTCTACAAAAGACTGGTTCCAAACTGCTCAACTGAAAGGAAGGTTGAATTCTGTGACATGAATTCACACATCACAAAGAGGTTTTTCAGAAATCTTCTGTCTACTTTTTACGTGAAGACATTTCATATTTCAACAAAGGCCATAAAGGGCTCACAAATATCCCTTTGCAGATTCTAAGAAAAGACATTTTCCAAACTCCTCAATCAAAAGAAAGGTTTCACTCTGTGCGATGAATGGACACATCACAAAGAAGTTTCTCAGAAAGCTACTGTGTCGTTTTTATGTGAAGACGTTTCCTTTTTCACTCTAGGCCTTAAAACTCTCTAAATATACATTCACAGATTCTACAAAAAGACTGATTCCAAACTGCTCAATCAGAAGAAAAGTTCAATTCCGTGTGACAAACTTGCACATCACAAAGCAATTTGTCAGAAAGCTTTTGTCTAGTTTTCATGTGAAGATATTTATTTTTCACCATTGGCCCCAAACGGCTCAGAAATGTCCCTTTGCAGTTTGTAGGAAAAGACTGTTTCCAAACTGCTCAATGAGAAGAAATGGTCAACTATTAGAGATGAATGGACATGTCACAAAGAGTTTTCTCAAAAAGCTTCTGTCTGCATTTTATGTGAAGGTATTTCCTTTGGCACCGTAGGCCTTAAACCACTCACAAACATAACTCCGCTTATACTACCAAGAGACTTTCTCCAAATTGCTAAATCAAAAGAAACGTTCAACTCTGGGAGATGAATACACACATCAAAAAGAAGTTTCTCAAAATGCTTCTGTCTAGTTTTTATGTGAAGATATTTCCTTCTTCACCGTAGGCCGCAAATTGCTCCAAATATCCATTTGCGGATTCTACAGAAAGAATGTTTCCAAACTGGTCAATCAAAAGAAAGGCTCAACTCTGTGAGACGAAAGCACACATCACAAAGAAGTTTCTCAGAAAGCTTCTGTCTGGTTATTATGTGAAGATATTTCCTTTTTCACCATAGTCTTTAAACCACTCAAAAATATCCCTCTGCAGGTACTACAAAAAGACTGTTTCCAAACTGGTCCATATAGAATGTTTCAACTATGTGAGTTGAATGCACTCATCACAAAGAAGTTTCTCAGAATTCTCCTGTCTAGTTTTTATGACAAGATAATTCCTATTTTGCCATAGGAATCAAGGGGCTCACAAATATCCCTTTGCAGATTCTACAAAAGTTCTGTTTACAAACCTCTCAATCAAAAGAAACGTTCAACATTGTGAGATGAATGAACACATCACAAAGAAGTTTCTCAGAATGCTTCTGTCTAGATTTTATGTGAAGATATTTCCATTTTCACCTTAGGCCACAAAGCGCTCCAAACATCCCTTTGCAGATGATACGAAAAGACTGTTTCCAAACTGCTCAATCAAAAGAAATTTTCAACTCTGTGAGATGAAAGCACCCATCACAAAAAAGTTTCTCAGAAATCTTCTCTCTAGTTTTTATGTGTAGATATTTCCTTTTTCAGCGTAGTCCTTACACCGCTCACAAATATCCTTCTGCAGATACTAGAAAAAGACTGTTTCCAAACTGCTCCATCAAAAGAAAATTTCACCTACCTGAGATGAATGCACACATCACAAAGAAGTTTCTCAGAATTCTTCTGTCTAGTTTAAATGTGAAGATAATCCTTTTTCACCACAGACCTCAAATGGCTCAGAAATATACCTTTGCAGATTGCAGAAAGAGACTGTCTCTAAACTGCTCAAATAAAATAAAGTTTCAACACTGTGAGATGAATGCACACATCACAAAGAAGTTTCTCAGAAAGCTCCTGTCTAGTTTCTATGTGAAGATATTTACTATTTCACTATAGGCTTCAAAGGTCTCAAAAATATCCCTTTGCAGATTCTACAAAAATATGGTTTCCACAGTGCTGAATTAAAAGAAACCTTCAACTCTGTCAGATGAATGGAGACATCACAAAGAAGTTCCTCGGAATGCTTCGGTCTACTTTTCATGTGAAGATATTTCCAGTTTCACCGTAGGCCTCAAAGGGCTAAGAAATATCCCTTTCCAGATTCTAAAAGACGACCGTTTCCATACTTCTGAATCCAAAGAAAGGTTAAATTCTCTGAGGTTAATGCCCACGTCAGAATGAAGTTTCTCAGAATTCTTCTGTTTAGTTTTTATGTAAAGATATTTCCTTTGCCACCATTGGCCTCATATCAGTCTTAATAACTATTTACAGATTTCACAAAAAGAGTGTTTCCAAACAGCTCAATCAAAAGAAAGTGTTTAACTCTGTGAGGTGAAAGCACACATCTCAATGAAGTTTCTCAGAAAGCTTCTGTCTAGTTTATATGTGAAGAAGATTCCTATTTCACCATAGGCAATAAAGGGCTCGCAAATATGTTTTGCAGATTCTACAAAAAGACTGTATCCAAACTGCTCAATAAAAAGAAAGTTTTAACTCTGTTAGATTAACGGACACATCGAAAAGGAGTTTCTCAGAAAACTTCTGTCTAGTTTTTATGTGAAGATACTTCACAGTGCATCATAGTACTCAATGGGCTCAGAAGTATCCCTTGGCAGATTCTACAAAAGGACTGTTTCAAAACTGCTCAATCCAAAGAAAGTTTCAACTATGTGAGATGAATGCACACATCACAAAGAAGTTCCTCAGAATGTTTCTGTTTAGTTTTTACGCGAAGATGTTTCGTTTTTCCACATGGGCCTCAAAATCTCTCCAAATATCCATTTGCAGATTATAGAAAAAGAGTGTTTCCAAACTCCTCAATCAAAAGAAAGTTTCAATTCTGTGAGATGAAAGCACACATCACACCGAAGTTTCTTAGAAAGCTTCTGTCTAGTTTTTATGTGAAGATATTTCTCTTTCACCATAGGCCTCAAATGGATCAGAATTATCCCTTTGCGGATTGTACAATAAGCCTCTTTCCAACCTGCTCAATCAAAAGAAAGGTTCAACTCTGTGAGGTGAATGCACACATCACAAGGAAGTTTCTCAGAAAGCTCCTGTCTAGTTTTTGTGTGAAGATACTTCGTATTTCACCACAGGCCATAAGGGGCTCACAAATATCCCTTTGCAGGTTCTACAAAAAGACAGTTTCCAAACTGCTCAATCAAAAGAAAGGTTCAACTCTGTGACGTGAATGGACACATCACAAAAAATTTCTCGGAATGATTCTGTCTAGTTTTTATGTGAAGATACTTCCTTTTTCACCAAGGACCTCAAATATCTCCAAATATCCATTTGCAGATTCTACAGAAAGACTTCCCAAACTGCTCAATCAAAAGAAAGGTTCAACACAGTGAGATGAAGGCACACATCACAAAGAAGTTTCTCAGAAATCTTCTGTCTAGTTTTTATGTGAAGATATTTCTTTTTCACCATAGGCCTCAAAGGTCTAAGAAATTTCCCTTTGCAGCTTCTACAAAAGACTGTCTCCAACTGCTGAATCAAAAGAAAGGTTGAATTCTGTGACATGAATTCACACATCACAAAGAAGTTTCTCAGAAATCTTCTGTCTACTTTTTATGTGAAGATATTTCATATTTCAACAAAGGCCATAAAGGGCTCACAAATATCCCTTTGCAGATTCTAAGAAAAGACATTTTACAAACTCCTCAATCAAAAGAAAGGTTCCACTCTGTGCGATGAATGGACACATCACAAAGAAGTTTCTCAGAAAGCTACTGTGTCGTTTTTATGTGAAGACATTGCCTCTTGCACCCTAGGCCTTAAAACTCTCTAAATACACATTCACAGATTCTACAAAAAGACTGATTCCAAACTGCTCAATCAGAAGAAGGGTTCAATTCCGTGTGACAAACGTGCACATCACTAAGAAATTTGTCAGAAAGCTTCTGTCTAGTTTTCATGGGAAGATATTTATTTTTCACCGTTGGCCCCAAACCGCTCAGAAATATCCCTTTGCAGTTTGTAGAAAAAGACTGCTTCCAAACTGCTCAATGAAAGGAAATGGCCAACTATTAGAGATGAATGGAAATGTCACAAAGAGTTTTCTCAAACAGCTTCTGTCTGCATTTTATGTCAAGGTATTTCCTTTGGCACCATAGGCCTTAAACCGCTCGCAAATATAACTCCACTTATACTACCAAGAGACTTTCTCCAAATTGCTAAATGAAAAGAAAGGTTCAACTCTGTGAGATGAATACACACATCAAAAAGAAGTTTCTCAAAATGCTCCTGTCTAGTTTTTATGTGAAGATATTTCCTTTTTCACCATAGGCCACAAATTGCTCCAAATATCCATTTGCAGATTCTACAAAAAGAATGTTCCCAAACTGGTCAATCAACAGAAAGGCGCAACTCTGTGAGACGAAAGCACACATCACAAAGAAGTTTCTCGGAAAGCCTCTGTCTGGTTACTCTGTGAAGATATTTCTTTTTTCACCACAGTCTTTAAGCCACTCAAAAATATCTGTCTGCAGACACTACAAAAAGACTGTTTCCAAACTGGCCCATATAGCATTTTTCAACTATGTGAAATGAATGCACTCATCAAAGAGAAGTTTCTCAGAATTCTTCTGTCTAGTTTTTATCTCAAGATAATTCCTATTTTGCCATAGGAATCAAGGGGCTCACAAATATCCCTTTGCAGATTCTACAAAAGTTCTGTTTACAAACCTCTCAATCAAAAGAAACGTTCAACATTGTGAGATGAATGAACACATCACAAAGAAAGTTTCTCAGAATGCTTCTGTCTAGATTTTATGTGAAGATATTTCCATTTTCACCTTAGGCCACAAAGCGCTCCAAACATCCCTTTGCAGATGATACGAAAAGACTGTTTCCAAACTGCTCAATCAAAAGAAACTTTCAACTCTGTGAGATGAAAGCACCCATCACAAAAAAGTTTCTCAGAAATCTTCTGTCTAGTTTTTATGTGAAGATATTTGCTTTTTCAGCATAGTCCTTACACCGCTCACAAATATCCTTCTGCAGATACTAGAAAAAGACTGTTTCCAAACTGCTCCATCAAAAGAAAATTTCACCTACCTGAGATGAATGCACACGTCATAAAGAAGTTTCTCAGAATTCTTCTGTCTAGTTTAAATGTGAAGATATTTCTCTTTCACCACAGACCTCAAATGGCTCAGAAATATGCCTTTGCAGATTGCAGAAAAAGACTGTCTCTAAGCTGCTCAAATAAAATAAAGTTTCAACACTGTGAGATGAATGCACACATCACAAAGAAGTTTCTCAGAAAGCTCCTGTCTAGTTTCTATGTGAAGATATTTACTATTTCACTGTAGGCTTCAAAGGTCTCAAAAATATCCCTTTGCAGATTCTGCAAAAATACGGTTTCCACAGTGCTGAATTAAAAGAAACCTTCAACTCTGTCAGATGAATGGAGACATCACAAAGAAGTTCCTCGGAATGCTTCGGTCTACTTTTCATGTGAAGATATTTCCAGTTTCACCGTAGGCCTCAAAGGGCTAAGAAATATCCCTTTCCCGATTCTAAAAGACGACCGTTTCCATACTTCTCAATCCAAAGAAAGGTTAAATTCTCTGAGGTTAATGCCCACGTCAGAATGAAGTTTCTCAGAATTCTTCTGTTTAGTTTTTATGTGAAGATATTTCCTTTGTCACCATTGGCCTCAAAGCACTCCTAATATCCATTTACAGATTTCACAAAAAGAGTGTTTCCAAACAGCTCAATCAAAAGAAAGTGTTTAACTCTGTGAGGTGAAAGCACACATCTCCAAGAAGTTTCTCAGAAAGCTTCTGTCTAGTTTATATGTGAAGAAGATTCCTATTTCACCATAGGCAATAAAGGGCTCACAAATATTTTTTGCAGATTCTACAAAAAGACTGTGTCCAAACTGCTCAATAAAAAGAAAGTTTTAACTCTGTTAGATTAACGGACACATCGAAAAGTAGTTTCTCAGAAAACTTCTGTCTAGTTTTTATGTGAAGATACTTCACATTGCAGCATAGTACTCAATCGGCTCAGAAATATCCCTTGGCAGATTCTACAAAAGGACTGTTTCAAAACTGCTCAATCCAAAGAAAGTTTCAACTATGTGAGATGAATGCACCCATCACAAAGAAGTTCCTCAGAATGCTTCTGTTTAGTTTTTACGTGAAGATGTTTCGTTTTTCAACATGGGCCTCAGAATCTCTCCAAATATCCATTTGCAGATTCTAGAAAAAGAGTGTTTCCAAACTCCTCAATGAAAAGAAAGTTTCAATTCCCTGAGATGAAAACACACATCACACCGAAGTTTCTTAGAAAGCTTCCGTCTAGTTTTTATGGGAAGATGTTTCTCTTTCACCAGAAGCCTCAAACGGATCAGAATTCTCCCTTTGCAGATTGTACAATAAGCCTCTTTCCAATCTGCTCAATCAAAAGACAGTTTCAAGTCTGTGAGGTGAATGCACACATCACAAGGGAGTTTCTGAGAAAGCTCCTGTCTAGTTTTTATGTGAAGATATTTCGTATTTCACCACAGGCCATAAGGGGCTCACAAATATCCCTTTGCAGGTTCTACAAAAAGACTGTTTTCAAACTGCTCAATCAAAATAAAGGTTCAACTCTGTGACGTGAATGGACACATCACAAAAAATTTCTCGGAATGATTCTGTCTAGTTTTTATGTGAAGATACTTCCTTTTTCACCAAGGGCCTCAAATATCTCCAAATATCCATTTGCAGATTCTACAGAAAGACTTCCCAAACTGCTCAATCAAAAGAAAGGTTCAACACAGTGAGATGAAGGCACACATCACAAAGAACTTTCTCAGAAATCTTCTGTCTACTTTTTATGTGAGGCTATTTCTTGTTCACCATAGGCCTCAAGCAGCTAAGAAATTTCCCTCTGCAGCTTCCACAAAAGACTGGTTCCAAACTGCTCAACTGAAAGGAAGGTTGAATTCTGTGACATGAATTCACACATCACAAAGAGGTTTTTCAGAAATCTTCTGTCTACTTTTTATGTGAAGATATTTCATATTTCAACAAAGGCCATAAAGGGCTCACAAATATCCCTTTGCAGATTCTAAGGAAAGACATTTTCCAAACTCCTCAATCAAAAGAAAGGTTTCACTCTGTGCGATGAATGGACACATCACAAAGAAGTTTCTCAGAAAGCTACTGTGTCGTTTTTATGTGAAGACGTTTCCTTTTTCACTCTAGGCCTTAAAACTCCCTAAATATACATTCACAGATTCTACAAAAAGACTGATTCCAAACTGCTCAATCAGAAGAAAAGTTCAATTCCGTGTGACAAACTTGCACATCACAAAGCAATTTGTCAGAAAGCTTCTGTCTAGTTTTCATGTGAAGATATTTATTTTTCACCATTGGCCTCAAACTGCTCAGAAATATCCCTTTGCATTTTGTACAAAAAGACTGTTTCCAAACTGCTCAATGAAAAGAAATGGTCAACTCTTAGAGATGAATGGAAATGTCACAAAGAGTTTTCTCAAAAAGCTTCTGTCTGCATTTTATGTGAAGGTATTTCCTTTGGCACCTTAGGCCTTAAACCACTCACAAACATAACTCCGCTTATACTACCAAGAGACTTTCTCCAAATTGCTAAATCAAAAGAAACGTTCAACTCTGTGAGATGAATACACACATCAAAAAGAAGTTTCTCAAAATGCTTCTGTCTAGTTTTTATGTGAAGATATTTCCTTCTTCACCGTAGGCCGCAAATTGTTCCAAATATCCATTTGCGGATTCTACAAAAAGAATGTTTCCAAACTGGTCAATCAACAGAAAGGCTCAACTCTGTGAGACGAAAGCACACATCACAAAGAAGTTTCTCAGAAAGCTTCTGTCTGGTTACTCTGTGAAGATATTTCTTTTTTCACCACAGTCTTTAAGCCACTCAAAAATATCTGTCTGCAGACACTACAAAAAGACGGTTTCCAAACTGGCCCATATAGCATGTTTCAACTATGTGAAATGAATGCACTCATCAAAGAGAAGTTTCTCAGAATTCTTCTGTCTAGTTTTTATCTCAAGATAATTCCTATTTTGCCATAGGAATCAAGGGGCTCACAAATATCCCTTTGCAGATTCTACAAAAGTTCTGTTTACAAACCTCTCAATCAAAAGAAACGTTCAACATTGTGAGATGAATGAACACATCATAAAGAAGCTTCTCAGAATGCTTCTGTCTAGATTTTATGTGAAGATATTTCCATTTTCACCTTAGGCCACAAAGCGCTCCAAACATGCCTTTGCAGATGATACGAAAAGACTGTTTCCAAACTGCTCAATCAAAAGAAATTTTCAACTCTGTGAGATGAAAGCACCCATCACAAAAAAGTTTCTCAGAAATCTTCTGTCTAGTTTTTATGTGAAGATATTTCCTTTTTCACCATAGTCCTTACACCGCTCACAAATATCCTTCTGCAGATACTAGAAAAAGACTGTTTCCAAACTGCTCCATCAAAAGAAAATTTCACCTACCTGAGATGAATGCACACATCATAAAGAAGTTTCTCAGAATTCTTCTGTCCAGTTTAAATGTGAAGATATTTCTCTTTCACCACAGACCTCAAATGGCTCAGAAATATGCCTTTGCAGATTGCAGAAAAAGACTGTCTCTAAACTGCTCAAATAAAATAAAGTTTCAACACTGTGAGATGAATGCACACATCACAAAGAAGTTTCTCAGAAAGCTCCTGTCTAGTTTCTATGTGAAGATATTTACTATTTCACTATAGGCTTCAAAGGTCTCAAAAATATCCCTTTACAGATTCTACAAAAATACGGTTTCCACAGTGCTGAATTAAAAGAAACCTTCAACTCTGTCAGATGAATGGAGACATCACAAAGAAGTTCCTCGGAATGCTTCGGTCTACTTTTCATGTGAAGATATTTCCAGTTTCACCGTAGGCCTCAAAGGGCTAAGAAATATCCCTTTCCAGATTCTAAAAGACGACCGTTTCCATACTTCTCAATCAAAAGAAAGGTTAAATTCTCTGAGGTTAATGCCCACGTCAGAATGAAGTTTCTCAGAATTCTTCTGTTTAGTTTTTATGTGAAGATATTTCCTTTGTCACCATTGGCCTCAAAGCACTCCTAATATCCATTTACAGATTTCACAAAAAGAGTGTTTCCAAACAGCTCAATCAAAAGAAAGTGTTTAACTCTGTGAGGTGAAAGCACACATCTCCAAGGAGTTTCTCAGAAAGCTTCTGTCTAGTTTATATGTGAAGAAGATTCCTATTTCACCATAGGCAATAAAGGGCTCACAAATATTTTTTGCAGTTTCTACAAAAAGACTGTGTCCAAACTGCTCAATAAAAAGAAAGTTTTAACTCTGTTAGATTAACGGACACATCGAAAAGTAGTTTCTCGGAAAACTTCTGTCTAGTTTTTATGTGAAGATACTTCACAGTGCATCATAGTACTCAATGGGCTCAGAAATATCCCTTGGCAGATTCTACAAAAGGACTGTTTCAAAACTGCTCAATCCAAAGAAAGTTTCAACTATGTGAGATGAATGCACACATCACAAAGAAGTTCCTCAGAATGCTTCTGTTTAGTTTTTACGTGAAGATGTTTCGTTTTTCAACATGGGCCTCAGGATCTCTCCAAATATCCATTTGCAGATTCTAGAAAAAGAGTGTTTCCAAACTCCTCAATCAAAAGAAAGTTTCAATTCCGTGAGATGAAAGCACACATCACAACGAAGTTTCTTAGAAAGCTTCCGTCTAGTTTTTATGGGAAGATGTTTCTCTTTCACCATAAGCCTCAAACGGATCAGAATTCTCCCTTTGCAGATTGTACAATAAGCCTCTTTCCAATCTGCTCAATCAAAAGAAAGTTTCAACTCTGTGAGGTGAATGCACACATCACAAGGGAGTTTCTCAGAAAGCTCCTGTCTAGTTTTTGTGTGAAGATATTTCGTATTTCACCACAGGCCATAAGGGGCTCACAAATATCCCTTTGCAGGTTCTACACAAAGACTGTTTCCAAACTGCTCAATCAAAAGAAAGGTTCAACTCTGTGACGTGAATGGACACATCACAAAAAATTTCTCGGAATGATTCTGTCTAGTTTTATGTGAAGATACTTCCTTTTTCACCAAGGGCCTCAAATATCTCCAAATATCCATTTGCAGATTCTACAGAAAGACTTCCCAAACTGCTCAAACAAAAGAAAGGTTCAACACAGTGAGATGAAGGCACACATCACAAAAAAGTTTCTCAGAAATCTTCTGTCTACTTTTTATGTGAGGCTATTTCTTGTTCACCATAGGCCTCAAGCAGCTAAGAAATTTCCCTCTGCAGCTTCTACAAAAGACTGGTTCCAAACTGCTCAACTGAAAGGAAGGTTGAATTCTGTGACATGAATTCACACATCACAAAGAGGTTTTTCAGAAATCTTCTGTCTACTTTTTACGTGAAGATATTTCATATTTCAACAAAGGCCATAAAAGGATCACAAATATCCCTTTGCAGATTCTAAGAAAAGACATTTTCCAAACTCCTCAATCAAAAGAAAGGTTTCACTCTGTGCGATGAATGGACACATCACAAAGAAGTTTCTCAGAAAGCTACTGTGTCGTTTTTATGTGAAGACGTTTCCTTTTTCACTCTAGGCCTTAAAACTCTCTAAATATACATTCACAGATTCTACAAAAAGACGGATTCCAAACTGCTCAATCAGAAGAAAGTTTCAATTCCGTGTGACAAACGTGCACATCACAAAGAAATTTGTCAGAAAGCTTCTGTCTAGTTTTCATGTGAAGATATTTATTTTTCACCATTGGCCCCAAACGGCTCAGAAATATCCCTTTGCAGTTTGTAGGAAAAGACTGTTTCCAAACTGCTCAATGAAAAGAAATGGTCAACTATTAGAGATGAATGGAAATGTCACAAAGAGTTTTCTCATAAAGCTTCTGTCTACATTTTATGTGAAGGTATTTCCTTTGGCACCGTAGGCCTTAAACCACTCACAAACATAACTCCGCTTATACTACCAAGAGACTTTCTCCAAATCGCTAAATCAAAAGAAACGTTCAACTCTGTGAGATGAATACACACATCAAAAAGAAGTTTCTCAAAATGCTTTCTGTCTAGTTTTTATGTGAAGATATTTCCTTTTTCACCATAGTTCTCAAATTGCTCCAAATATCCATTTGCAGATTCTACAAAAAGAGTGTTTCCAAACTGGTCAATCAAAAGAAAGGCTCAACTCTGTGAGACGAAAACACACATCACAAAGTTTCTCAGAAAGCTTCTGTCTGGTTACTCTGTGAAGATATTTCTTTTTTCACCACAGTCTTTAAGCCACTCAAAAATATCTGTCTGCAGACACTACAAAAAGACTGTTTCCAAACTGGCCCATATAGCATGTTTCAACTATGTGAAATGAATGCACTCATCAAAGAGAAGTTTCTCAGAATTCTTCTGTCTAGTTTTTATCTCAAGAGAATTCCTATTTTGCCATAGGAATCAAGGGGCTCACAAATATCCCTTTGCAGATTCTACAAAAGTTGTGTTTACAAACCTCTCAATCAAAAGAAACGTTCAACATTGTGAGATGAATGAACACATCACAAAGAAGTTTCTCAGAATGCTTCTGTCTAGATTTTATGTGAGGATATTTCCATTTTCACCTTAGGCCACAAAGCGCTCCAAACATCCCTTTGCAGATGATACGAAAAGACTGTTTCCAAACTGCTCAATCAAAAGAAATTTTCAACTCTGTGAGATGAAAGCACCCATCACAAAAAAGTTTCTCAGATATCTTCTGTCTAGTTTTTATGTGAAGATATTTCCTTTTTCAGCGTAGTCCTTACACCGCTCACAAATATCCTTCTGCAGATACTAGAAAAAGACTGTTTCCAAACTGCTCCATCAAAAGAAAATTTCACCTACCTGAGATGAATGCACCCATCATAAAGAAGTTTGCTCAGAATTCTTCTGTCTAGTTTAAATGTGAAGATATTTCTCTTTCACCACAGACCTCAAATGGCTCAGAAATATGCCTTTGCAGATTGCAGAAAAAGACTGTCTCTAAACTGCTCAAATAAAATAAAGTTTCAACACTGTGAGATGAATGCACACATCACAAAGAAGTTTCTCAGAAAGCTCCTGTCTAGTTTCTATGTGAAGATATTTACTATTTCACTGTAGGCTTCAAAGGTCTCAAAAATATCCCTTTGCAGATTCTACAAAAATACGGTTTCCACAGTGCTGAATTAAAAGAAACCTTCAACTCTGTCAGATGAATGGAGACATCACAAAGAAGTTCCTCGGAATGCTTTGGTCTAGTTTTCATGTGAAGATATTTCCAGTTTCACCATAGGCCTCAAAGGGCTAAGAAATATCCCTTTCCAAATTCTAAAAGACGAACATTTCCATACTGCTCAATCAAAAGAAAGGTTAAATTCTGTGAGGTGAATGCACACATCAGAATGAAGTTTCTCAGAATTCTTCTGTTTAGTTTTTATGTAAAGATATTTCCTTTGCCACCATTGGCCTCATATCACTCCTAATAACTATTTACAGATTTCACAAAAAGAGTGTTTCCAAACAGCTCAATCAAAAGAAAGTGTTTAACTCTGTGAGGTGAAAGCACACATCTCAATGAAGTTTCTCAGAAAGCTTCTGTCTAGTTTATATGTGAAGAAGATTCCTATTTCACCATAGGCAATAAAGGGCTCACAAATATTTTTTGCAGATTCTACAAAAAGACTGTATCCTAACTGCTCAATAAAAAGAAAGTTTTAACTCTGTTAGATTAATGGACACATCGAAAAGTAGTTTCTCAGAAAACTTTTGTCTAGTTTTTATGTGAAGATATTTCACATTGCACCATAGTACTCAATGGGTTCAGAAATATCCCTTTGCAGATTTTACAAAATGACTGTTTCCAAACTGCTCAATCCAAAAAAAGTTTCAACTATGTGAGATGAATGCACACATCACAAAGAAGTTCCTCAGAATGCTTCTGTTTAGTTTTTACGTGAAGATGTTTCGTTTTTCAACATGGGCCTCAAAAGCTCTCCAAATATCCACTTGCAGATTCTAGAAAAAGAGTGTTTCCAAACTCCTCAATCAAAAGAAAGTTTCAATTCTGTGAGATGAAAGCACACATCACACCGAAGTTTCTTAGAAAGATTCCTTGTAGTTTTTATGGGAAGATGTTTCTCTTTCACCAGAAGCCTCAAACGGATCAGAATTCTCCCTTTGCAGATTGTACAGTAAGCCTCTTTCCAATCTGCTCAATCAAAAGAAAGTTTCAACTCTGGGAGGTGAATGCACACATCACAAGGGAGTTTCTCAGAAAGCTCCTGTCTAGTTTTTGTGTGAAGATATTTCGTATTTCACCACAGGCCATAAGGGACTCACAAATATCCCTTTGCAGGTTCTACACAAAGACTGTTTCCAAACTGCTCAATCAAAAGAAAGGTTCAACTCTGTGACGTGAATGGACACATCACAAAAAATTTCTCGGAATGATTCTGTCTAGATTTTATGTGAAGATACTTCCTTTTTCACCACGGGCCTCAAATATCTCCAAATATCCATTTGCAGATTCTACAGAAAGACTTCCCAAACTGCTCAATCAAAAGAAAGGTTCAACACAGTGAGATGAAGGCACACATCACAAAGAAGTTTCTCAGAAATCTTCTGTCTAGTTTTTATGTGAGGCTATTTCTTGTTCACCATAGGCCTCAAGCAGCTAAGAAATTTCCCTCTGCAGCTTCTACAAAAGACTGTTTCCAAACTGCTCAACTGAAAGAAAGGTTGAATTCTGTGACATGAATTCACACATCACAAAGAGGTTTTTCAGAAATCTTCTGTCTACTTTTTATGTGAAGATATTTCATATTTCAACAAAGGCCATAAAGGACTCACAAATATCCCTTCGCAGATTCTAAGAAAAGACGTTTTCCAAACTCCTCAACCAAAAGAAAGGTTTAACTCTGTGAGATGAATGGACACATCACGAAGAAGTTTCTCAGAAAGCTACTGTGTCGTTTTTATGTGAAGACGTTTCCTTTTTCACTCTAGGCCTTAAAACTCTCTAAATATACATTCACAGATTCTACAAAAAGACTGATTCCAAACTGCTCAATCAGAAGAAAGGTTCAGTTCCGTGTGACAAACGTGCACATCAGAAAGAAATTTGTCAGAAACCTTCTGTCTAGTTTTCATGTGAAGATATTTATTTTTCACCATTGGCCCCAAACGGCTCAGAAATGTCCCTTTGCAGTTTGTAGGAAAAGACTGTTTCCAAACTGCTCAATGAGAAGAAATGGTCAACTATTAGAGATGAATGGACATGTCACAAAGAGTTTTCTCAAAAAGCTTCTGTCTACATTTTTTGTGAAGGTATTTCCTTTGGCACCGTAGGCCTTAAACCACTCACAAACATAACTCCGCTTATACTACCAAGAGACTTTCTCCAAATTGCTAAATCAAAAGAAACGTTCAACTCTGTGAGATGAATACACACATCAAAAAGAAGTTTCTCAAAATGGTTCTGTCTAGTTTTTATGTGAAGATATTTCCTTCTTCACCGTAGGCCGCAAATTGTTCCAAATATCCATTTGCGGATTCTACAAAAAGAATGTTTCCAAACTGGTCAATCAACAGAAAGGCTCAACTCTGTGAGACGATAGCACACATCACAAAGAAGTTTCTCAGAAAGCTTCTGTCTGGTTACTCTGTGAAGATATTTCTTTTTTCACCACAGTCTTTAAGCCACTCAAAAATATCTGTCTGCAGACACTACAAAAAGACAGTTTCCAAACTGGCCCATATAGCATGTTTCAACTATGTGAAATGAATGCACTCATCAAAGAGAAGTTTCTCCGAATTCTTCTGTCTAGTTTTTATCTCAAGATAATTCCTATTTTGCCATAGGAATCAAGGGGCTCACAAATATCCCTTTGCAGATTCTACAAAAGTTCTGTTTACAAACCTCTCAATCAAAAGAAACGTTCAACATTGTGAGATGAATGAACACATCACAAAGAAGTTTCTCAGAATGCTTCTGTCTAGATTTTCTGTGAAGACATTTCCATTTTCACCTTAGGCCACAAAGCGCTCCAAACATCCCTTTGCAGATGATACGAAAAGACTGTTTCCAAACTGCTCAATCAAAAGAAATTTTCAACTCTGTGAGATGAAAGCACCCATCACAAAAAAGTTTCTCAGAAATCTTCTGTCTAGTTTTTATGTGAAGATATTTCCTTTTTCAGCGTAGTCCTTACACCGCTCACAAATATCCTTCTGCAGATACTAGAAAAAGACTGTTTCCAAACTGCTCCATCAAAAGAAAATTTCACCTACCTGAGATGAATGCACCCATCATAAAGAAGTTTCTCAGAATTCTTCTGTCTAGTTTAAATGTGAAGATATTTCTCTTTCACCACAGACTTCAAATGGCTCAGAAATATGCCTTTGCAGATTGCAGAAAAAGACTGTCTCTAAACTGCTCAAATAAAATAAAGTTTCAACACTGTGAGATGAATGCACACATCACAAAGAAGTTTCTCAGAAAGCTCCTGTCTAGTTACTATGTGAAGATATTTACTATTTCACTGTAGGCTTCAAAGGTCTCAAAAATATCCCTTTGCAGATTCTGCAAAAATACGGTTTCCACAGTGCTGAATTAAAAGAAACCTTCAACTCTGTCAGATGAATGGAGACATCACAAAGAAGTTCCTCGGAACGCTTCGGTCTACTTTTCATGTGAAGATATTTCCAGTTTCACCGTAGGCCTCAAAGGGCTAAGAAATATCCCATTCCAGATTTTAAAAGACGGCCGTTTCCATACTTCTCAATCAAAAGAAAGGTTAAATTCTCTGAGGTTAAT
The DNA here is from genome assembly GCF_000001405.40 of Homo sapiens. Taxonomy (NCBI): domain Eukaryota; kingdom Metazoa; phylum Chordata; class Mammalia; order Primates; family Hominidae; genus Homo; species Homo sapiens. The sequence goes on along the minus strand of NC_000022.11, from coordinate 13,211,419 downwards.
GCCCACGTCAGAATGAAGTTTCTCAGAATTCTTCTGTGTAGTTTTTATGTGAAGATATTTCCTTTGTCACCATTGGTCTCAAAGCACTCCTAATATCCATTTACAGATTTCACAAAAAGAGTGTTTCCAAACAGCTCAATCAAAAGAAAGTGTTTAACTCTGTGAGGTGAAAGCACACATCTCAAAGAAGTTTCTCCGAAAGCTTCTGTCTAGTTTATATGTGAAGAAGATTCCTATTTCACCATAGGCAATAAAGGGCTCACAAATATTTTTTGCAGATTCTACAAAAAGACTGTATCCAAACTGCTCAATAAAAAGAAAGTTTCAACTCTGTTAGATTAATGGACACATCGAAAAGTAGTTTCTCAGAAAACTTCTGTCTAGTTTTTATGTGAAGATATTTCACATTTCACCATAGTACTCAATGGGCTCAGAAATATCCCTTTGCAGATTCTACAAAAGGACTGTTTCCAAACTGCTCAATCCAAAGAAAGTTTCAACTCTGTGAGATGAATGCACACATCACAAAGAAGTTTCTCAGAATGCTTCTGTTTAGTTTTTACGTGAAGATGTTTCGTTTTTCAACATGGGCCTCAAAAGCTCTCCAAATATCCACTTGCAGATTCTAGAAAAAGAGTGTTTCCAAACTCCTCAATCAAAAGAAAGTTTCAATTCTGTGAGATGAAAGCCCACATCACACCGAAGTTTCTTAGAAAGCTTCCGTCTAGTTTTTATGGGAAGATGTTTCTCTTTCACCAGAAGCCTCAAACGGATCGGAATTCTCCCTTTGCAGATTGTACAATAAGCCTCTTTCCAATCTGCTCAATCAAAAGAAAGTTTCAACTCTGTGAGGTGAATGCACACATCACAAGTTAGTTTCTCAGAAAGCTCCTGTCTAGTTTTTATTTGAAGATATTTCGTATTTCACCAAAGACCACAAGGGGCTCACAAATATCCCTTTGCAGGTTCCACAAAAAGACTGTTTCCAAACTGCTCAATCAAAAGAAAGGTTCAACTCTGTGACGTGAATGGACTCATCGCAGAAAATTTCTTGGAATGATTCTGTCTAGTTTTTATGTGAAGATACTTTCTTTTTCACCATGGGCCTGAAATAGCTCCAAATATCCATTTGCAGATTCTACAAAAAAGACTTTCCAAACTGCTCAATCAAAGAAAGGTTCAACACTGTGAGATGAAAGCACACATCACAAAGAAGTTTCTCAGAAATCTTCTGTCTACTTTTTATGTGAGGCTATTTCTGGTTCACCATAGGCCTCAAGCAGCTAAGAAATTTCCCTCTGCAGCTTCTACAAAAGACTGGTTCCAAACTGCTCAACTGAAAGGAAGGTTGAATTCTGTGACATGAATTCACACATCACAAAGAGATTTCTCAGAAATCTTCTGTCTACTTTTTATGTGAAGATATTTCATATTTCAACAAAGGCCATAAAGGGCTCACAAATATGCCTTTGCAGATTCTAAGAAAAGACATTTTCCAAACTCCTCAATCAAAAGACAGGTTTCACTCTGTGCGATGAATGGACACATCACAAAGAAGTTTCTCAGAAAGCTACTGCGTCGTTTTTATGTGAAGACGTTTCCTTTTTCACTCTAGGCCTTAAAACTCTCTAAATATACATTCACAGATTCTACAAAAAGACTGATTCCAAACTGCTCAATCAGAAGAAAGGTTCAGTTCCGTGTGACAAACGTGCACATCACAAAGAAATTTGTCAGAAAGCTTCTGCCTAGTTTTCATGTGAAGATATTTATTTTTCACCATTGGCCCCAAACGGCTCAGAAATATCCCTTTGCAGTTTGTAGGAAAAGACTGTTTCCAAACTGCTCAATGAGAAGAAATGGTCAACTATTAGAGATGAATGGAAATGTCACAAGGAGTTTTCTCAAAATTCTTCTGTCTACATTTTATGTGAAGGTATTTCCTTTGGCACCGTAGGCCTTAAACCACTCACAAACATAACTCTGCTTATACTACCAAGAGACTTTCTCCAAATTGCTAAATCAAAAGAAACGTTCAACTCTGTGAGATGAATACACACATCAAAAAGAAGTTTCTCAAAATGCTTCTGTCTAGTTTTTATGTGAAGATATTTCCTTCTTCACCGTAGGCCGCAAATTGCTCCAAATATCCATTTGCGGATTCTACAGAAAGAATGTTTCCAAACTGGTCAATCAACAGAAAGGCTCAACTCTGTGAGACGAAAGCACACATCACAAAGAAGTTTCTCAGAAAGCTTCTGTCTGGTTACTCTGTGAAGATATTTCTTTTTTCACCACAGTCTTTAAGCCACTCAAAAATATCTGTCTGCAGACACTACAAAAAGACTGTTTCCAAACTGGCCCATATAGCATGTTTCAAATATGTGAAATGAATGCACTCATCAAAGAGAAGTTTCTCAGAATTCTTCTGTCTAGTTTTTATCTCAAGATAATTCCTATTTTGCCATAGGAATCAAGGGGCTCACAAATATCCCTTTGCAGATTCTACAAAAGTTCTGTTTACAAAGCTCTCAATCAAAAGAAACGTTCAACATTGTGAGGTGAATGAACACATCACAAAGAAGTTTCTCAGAATGCTTCTGTCTAGATTTTATGTGAAGATATTTCCATTTTCACCTTAGACCACAAAGCGCTCCAAACATCCCTTTGCAGATGATACGAAAAGACTGTTTCCAAACTGCTCAATCAAAAGAAATTTTCAACTCTGTGAGATGAAAGCACCCATCACAAGAAAGTTTCTCAGAAATCTTCTGTCTAGTTTTTATGTGAAGATATTTCCTTTTTCACCATAGGCCTTAAACTGCTCACAAATATCCTTCTGCAGATACTAAAAAAATACTGTTTCCAAACTGCTCCATCAAAAGAAAAGTTCACCTCTCTGAGATGAATGCACACATCACAAAGAAGTTTCTCAGAATTCTTCTGTCTAGTTTAAATGTGAAGATATTTCTCTTTCACCACAGACCTCAAATGGCTCAGAAATAAGCCTTTGCAGATTGCAGAAAAAGACTGTCTCTAAACTGCTCAAATAAAATAAAGTTTCAACACTGTGAGATGAATGCACACATCACAAAGAAGTTTCTCAGAAAGCTCCTGTCTAGTTTCTATGTGAAGATATTTACTATTTCACTGTAGGCTTCAAAGGTCTCAAAAATATCCCTTTGCAGATTCTGCAAAAATACGGTTTCCACAGTGCTGAATTAAAAGAAACCTTCAACTCTGTCAGATGAATGGAGACATCACAAAGAAGTTCCTCGGAACGCTTCGGTCTAGTTTTCATGTAAAGATATTTCCAGTTTCACCATAGGCCTCAAAGGGCCAAGAAATATCCCTTTCCAGATTCTAAAAGACAACCACTTCCATACTGCTCAATCAAAAGAAAGCTTAAATTCTGTGAGGTGAATGCACACATGAGAATGAAATTTCTCAGAATTCTTCTGTTTAGTTTTTATGAGAAGTTATTTCCTTTGTCACCATTGGCCTCAAAGCACTCCTAATATCCATTTACAGATTTCACAAAAAGAGTGTTTCCAAACAGCTCAATCAAAAGAAAGTGTTTAACTCTGTGAGGTGAAAGCACACATCTCAATGAAGTTTCTCAGAACGCTTCTGTCTAGTTTATATGTGAAGATGATTCCTATTTCACCATAGGCAATAAAGGGCTCACAAATATGTTTTGCAGATTCTACAAAAAGACTGTGTCCAAACTGCTCAATAAAAAGAAAGTTTTAACTCTGTTAGATTAACGGACACATCGAAAAGTAGTTTCTCAGAAAACTTCTGTCTAGTTTTTATGTGAAGATACTTCACAGTGCATCATAGTACTCAATGGGCTCAGAAATATCCCCTGGCAGATTCTACAAAAGGACTGTTTCAAAACTGCTCAATCCAAAGAAAGTTTCAACTATGTGAGATGAATGCACACATCACAAAGGAGTTCTTCAGAATGCTTCTGTTTAGTTTTTACGTGAAGATATTTCGTTTTTCACCACGGGCCTCAAAAGCTCTCCAAATATCCATTTGCATATTCTAGAAAAAGAGTGTTTCCAAACTCCTCAATCAAAGGATAGTTTCAATTCTGTGAGACGAAAGCACACATCACAACGAAGTTTCTTAGAAAGCGTCCGTCTAGTTTTTATGGGAAGATGTTTCTCTTTCACCATAAGCCTCAAACGGATCAGAATTCTCCCTTTGCAGATTGTACAATGAGCCTCTTTCCAATCTGCTCAATCAAAAGAAAGTTTCAACTCTGTGAGGTGAATGCACACATCACAAGGGAGTTTCTCAGAAAGCTCCTGTCTAGTTTTTATGTGAAGATATTTCGTATTTCACCACAGGCCATAAGGGGCTCACAAATATCCCTTTGCAGGTTCTACAAAAAGACTGTTTTCAAACTGCTCAATCAAAAGAAAGGTTCAACTCTGTGACGTGAATGGACACATCACAAAAAATTTTTCGGAATCATTCTGTCTAGTTTTTATGTGAAGATACTTCCTTTTTCACCAAGGGCCTCAAATATCTCCAAATATCCATTTGCAGATTCTACAGAAAGACTTCCCAAACTGCTCAATCAAAAGAAAGGTTCAACACAGTGAGATGAAGGCACACATCACAAAGAAGTTTCTCAGAAATCTTCGGTCTACTGTTTATGTGAGGCTATTTCTTGTTCACCATAGGCCTCAAGCAGCTAAGAAATTTCCCTCTGCAGCTTCTACAAAAGACTGGTTACAAACTGCTCAACTGAAAGGAAGGTTGAATTCTGTGACATGAATTCACACATCACAAAGAGGTTTCTCAGAAATCTTCTGTCTACTTTTTATGTGAAGATATTTCATATTTCAACAAAGGCCATAAAGGGCTCACAAATATCCCTTTGCGGATTCTAAGAAAAGACATTTTCCAAACTCCTCAATCAAAAGAAATGTTTCACTCTGTGCGATGAATGGACACATCACAAAGAAATTTCTCAGAAAGCTACTGTGTCGTTTTTATGTGAAGACGTTTCCTTTTTCACTCTAGGCCTTAAAACTCTCTAAATATACATTCACAGATTCTACAAAAAGACTGATTCCAAACTGCTCAATCAGAAGAAAGGTTCAATTCCTTGTGACAAACGTGCACATCACAAAGAAATTTGTCAGAAAGCATCTGTCTAGTTTTCATGTGAAGATATTTATTTTTCACCATTGGCCCCAAACGGCTCAGAAATGTCCCTTTGCAGTTTGTAGGAAAAGACTGTTTCCAAACTGCTCAATGAGAAGAAATGGTCAACAATTAGAGATGAATGGACATGTCACAAAGAGTTTTCTCAAAAAGCTTCTGTCTGCATTTTATGTGAAGGTATTTCCTTTAGCACCGTAGGCCTTAAACCACTCACAAACATAACTCCGCTTATACTACCAAGAGACTTTCTCCAAATTGCTAAATCAAAAGAAACGTTCAACTCTGAGAGATGAATACACACATCAAAAAGAAGTTTCTCAAAATGCTTCTGTCTAGTTTTTATGTGAAGATATTTCCTTCTTCACCGTAGGCCGCAAATTGCTCCAAATATCCATTTGCGGATTCTACAGAAAGAATGTTTCCAAACTGGTCAATCAACAGAAAGGCTCAACTCTGTGAGACGAAAGCACACATCACAAAGAAGTTTCTCAGAAAACTTCTGTCTGGTTTTAATGTGAAGATATTTACTTTTTCACCATGGGCCTGAAAACACTCCATATATCCACTTGCAGATTCTACAAAAATAGTGTTTTCAAACTGCTCAATGAAAAGAAAGGTTCAATTCTGTGAGATGAAAGCACACTTCACAAAAGTATTTCTTAGAAACCTTCTGTCTAGCTTTTATCTCAAGATAATTCCTATTTTGCCATAGGAATCAATGTGCTCACAAATATCCCTTTGCAGATTCTACAAAAGTTCTGTTTCCAAGCTGCTCAATCAAAAGAAACGTTCAACATTGTGAGATGAATGCACACATCACAAAGAAGTTTCTCAGAATGCTTGTGTCTAGATTTTATGTGAAGATATTTCCATTTTCACCTTAGGCCACAAAGCGTTCCAAACATCCCTTTGCAGATGATACGAAAAGACTGTTTCCAAACTGCTCAATCAAAAGAAACTTTCAACTCTGTGAGATGAAAGCACCCATCACAAAAAAGTTTCTCAGAAATCTTCTGTCTAGTTTTTATGTGAAGATATTTCCTTTTTCAGCATAGTCCTTACACCGCTCACAAATATCCTTCTGCAGATACTAGAAAAAGACTGTTTCCAAACTGCTCCATCAAAAGAAAATTTCACCTACCTGAGATGAATGCACACATCATAAAGAAGTTTCTCAGAATTCTTCTGTCTAGTTTAAATGTGAAGATATTTCTTTTTCACCATAGACCTCAAATGGCTCAGAAATATACCTTTGCAGATTGCAGAAAAAGACTGTTTCTAAACTTCTCAAACAAAATAAAGTTTCAACACTGTGAGATGAATGCACACATCAGAAAGAAGTTTCTCAGAAAGCTCCTGTCTAGTTTCTGTGTGAAGATATTTACTATTTCACTATAGGCTTCAAAGGTCCCAAAAATATCCCTTTGCAGATTCTACAAAAATATGGTTTCCACAGTGCTGAATTGAAAGAAACCTTCAACTCTGTCAGATGAATGGAGACATCACAAAGAAGTTCCCCGGAATGCTTCGGTCTACTTTTCATGTGAAGATATTTCCAGTTTCACCGTAGGCCTCAAAGGGCTAAGAAATATCCCTTTCCAGATTCTAAAAGACGACCGTTTCCATACTTCTCAATCAAAAGAAAGGTTAAGTTCTCTGAGGTTAATGCCCACGTCAGAATGAAGTTTCTCAGAATTCTTCTGTTTAGTTTTTATGTGAAGATATTTCCTTTGTCACCATTGGCCTCAAAGCACTCCTAATATCCATTTACAGATTTCACAAAAAGAGTGTTTCCAAACAGCTCAATCAAAAGAAAGTGTTTAACTCTGTGAGGTGAAAGCACACATCTCAAAGAAGTTTTTCCGAAAGCTTCTGTCTAGTTTATATGTGAAGAAGATTCCTATTTCACCATAGGCAATAAAGGGCTCGCAAATATTTTTTGCAGATTCTACAAAAAGACTGTATCCAAACTGCTCAATAAAAAGAAAGTTTTAACTCTGTTAGATTAATGGACACATCGAAAGGTAGTTTCTCAGAAAACTTCTGTCTAGTTTTTATGTGAAGATACTTCACATTGCAGCATAGTACTCAATGGGCTCAGAAATATCCCTTGGCAGATTCTACAAAAGGACTGTTTCAAAACTGCTCAATCCAAAGAAAGTTTCAACTATGTGAGATGAATGCACACATCACAAGGAAGTTCCTCAGAATGCTTCTGTTTAGTTTTTACGTGAAGATGTTTCGTTTTTCAACATGGGCCTCAAAAGCTCTCCAAATATCCACTTGCAGATTCTAGAAAAAGAGTGTTTCCAAACTCCTCAATCAAAAGAAAGTTTCAATTCTGTGAGATGAAAGCACACATCACACCGAAGTTTCTTAGAAAGCTTCCGTCTAGTTTTAATGGGAAGATGTTTCTCTTTCACCAGAAGCCTCAAAAGGATCAGAATTCTCCCTTTGCAGATTGTACAATAAGCCTCTTTCCAATCTGCTCAACCAAAAGAAAGTTTCAACTCTGTAAGGTGAATGCACACATCACAAGGGAGTTTCTCCGAAAGCTCCTGTCTAGTTTTTATGTGAAGATATTTCGTATTTCACCACAGGCCATAAGGGGCTCACAAATATCCCTTTGCAGGTTCTACAAAAAGACTGTTTCCAAACTGCTCAATCAAAAGAAAGGTTCAACTCTGTGACGTGAATGGACACATCGCAGAAAATTTCTTGGAACGATCCTGTCTAGTTTTTATGTGAAGATACTTCCTTTTTCACCACGAGCCTCAAATATCTCCAAATATCCATTTGCAGATTCTACAGAAAGACTTTCCAAACTGCTCCATCAAAAGAAAGGTTCAACACTGTGAGATGAAGGCACACATCACCAAGAAGTTTCTCAGAAACCTTCTGTCTAGTTTTTATGTGAGGCTATTTCTTGTTCACCATAGGCCTCAAGCAGCTAAGAAATTTCCCTCTGCAGCTTCTACAAAAGACTGGTTACAAACTGTTCAACTGAAAGGAAGGTTGAATTCTGTGACATGAATTCACACATCACAAAGAGGTTTCTCAGAAATCTTCTGTCTACTTTTTACGTGAAGATATTTCATATTTCAACAAAGGCCGTAAAGGGCTCACAAATAACCCTTTGCAGATTCTAAGAAAAGACATTTTCCAAACTCCTCAATCAAAAGAAAGGTTTCACTCTGTGCGATGAATGGACACATCACAAAGAAGTTTCTCAGAAAGCTACTGTATCGTTTTTATGTGAAGACATTGCCTCTTGCACCCTAGGCCTTAAAACTCTCTAAACACACATTCACAGATTCTACAAAAAGACTGATTCCAAACTGCTCAATCAGAAGAAGGGTTCAATTCCGTGTGACAAACGTGCACATCACAAAGAAATTTGTCAGAAAGCTTCTGTCTAGTTTTCATGTGAAGATATTTATTTTTCACCATTGGCCCCAAACGGCTCAGAAATGTCCCTTTGCAGTTTGTAGGAAAAGACTGTTTCCAAACTGCTCAATGAGAAGAAATGGTCAAATATGAGAGATGAATGGAAATGTCACAAAGAGTTTTCTCAAAAAGCTTCTGTCTGCATTTTATGTGAAGGTATTTCCTTTGGCACCGTAGGCCTTAAACCACTCACAAACATAACTCCGCTTATACTACCAAGAGACTTTCTCCAAATTGCTAAATCAAAAGAAACGTTCAACACTGTGAGATGAATACACACATCAAAAAGAAGTTTCTCAAAATGCTTCTGTCTAGTTTTTATGTGAAGATATTTCCTTCTTCACCGTAGGCCGCAAATTGCTCCAAATATCCATTTGCGTATTCTACAGAAAGAATGTTTCCAAACTGGTCAATCAACAGAAAGGCTCAACTCTGTGAGACGAAAGCACACATCACAAAGAAGTTTCTCAGAAAGCTTCTCTCTGGTTACTCTGTGAAGATATTTCTTTTTTCACCACAGTCTTTAAGCCACTCAAAAATATCTGTCTGCAGACACTACAAAAAGACGGTTTCCAAACTGGCCCATATAGCATGTTTCAACTATGTGAAATGAATGCACTCATCAAAGAGAAGTTTCTCAGAATTCTCCTGTCTAGTTTTTATCTCAAGATAATTCCTATTTTGCCATAGGAATCAAGGGGCTCACAAATATCCCTTTGCAGATCCTACAAAAGTTCTGTTTACAAACCTCTCAATCAAAAGAAACGTTCAACATTGTGAGACGAATGAACACATCACAAAGAAGTTTCTCAGAATGCTTCTGTCTAGATTTTATGTGAAGATATTTCCATTTTCACCTTAGGCCACAAAGCGCTCCACACATCCCTTTGCAGATGATACGAAAAGACTGTTTCCAAACTGCTCAATCAAAAGAAATTTTCAACTCTGTGAGATGAAAGCAACCATCACAAAAAAGTTTCTCAGAAATCTTCTGTCTAGTTTTTATGTGAAGATATTTCCTTTTTCAGCATAGTCCTTACACCGCTCACAAATATCCTTCTGCAGATACTAGAAAAAGACTGTTTCCAAACTGCTCCATCAAAAGAAAATTTCACCTACCTGAGAGGAATGCACACATCATAAAGAAGTTTCTCAGAATTCTTCTGTCTAGTTTCAATGTGAAGATATTTCTTTTTCACCATAGACCTCAAATGGCTCAGAAATATACCTTTGCAGATTGCAGAAAAAGACTGTTTCTAAACTGCTCAAACAAAATAAAGTTTCAACACTGTGAGATGAATGCGCACATCACAAAGAAGTTTCTCAGAAAGCTCCTGTCTAGTTTCTGTGTGAAGATATTTACTCTTTCACTATAGGCTTCAAAGGTCCCAAAAATATCCCTTTGCAGATTCTACAAAAATATGGTTTCCACAGTGCTGAATTGAAAGAAACCTTCAACTCTGTCAGATGAATGGAGACATCACAAAGAAGTTCCCCGGAATGCTTGGTCTAGTTTTCATGTGAAGATATTTCCAGTTTCACCATAGGCCTCAAAGGGCTAAGAAATATCCCTTTCCAAATTCTAAAAGACGAACATTTCCATACTGCTCAATCAAAAGAAAGGTTAAATTCTGTGAGGTGAATGCACACATCAGAATGAAGTTTCTCAGAATTCTCTCTGTGTAGTTTTTATGTGAAGATATTTCCTTTGTCACCATTGGCCTCAAAGCACTCCTAATATCCATTTACAGATTTCACAAAAAGAGTGTTTCCAAACAGCTCAATCAAAAGAAAGTGTTTAACTCTGTGAGGTGAAAGCACACATCTCAAAGAAGTTTCTCCGAAAGCTTCTGTCTAGTTTATATGTGAAGAAGATTCCTATTTCACCATAGGCAATAAAGGGCTCGCAAATATTTTTTGCAGATTCTACAAAAAGACTGTATCCAAACTGCTCAATAAAAAGAAAGTTTTAACTCTGTTAGATTAATGGACACATCGAAAGGTAGTTTCTCAGAAATCTTCTGTCTAGCTTTTATGTGAAGATACTTCACAGTGCATCATAGTACTCAATGGGCTCAGAAATATCCCTTGGCAGATTCTACAAAAGGACTGTTTCAAAACTGCTCAATCCAAAGAAAGTTTCAACTATGTGAGATGAATGCACACATCACAAAGAAGTTCCTCAGAATGCTTCTGTTTAGTTTTTATGTGAAGATGTTTCGTTTTTCAACATGGGCCTCAGGATCTCTCCAAATATCCATTTGCAGATTCTAGAAAAAGAGTGTTTCCAAACTCCTCAATCAAAAGAAAGTTTCAATTCCGTGAGATGAAAGCACACATCACAACGAAGTTTCTTAGAAAGCTTCCGTCTAGTTTTTATGGGAAGATGTTTCTCTTTCACCAGAAGCCTCAAACGGATCAGAATTCTCCCTTTGCAGATTGTACAATAAGCCTCTTTCCAATCTCCTCAATCAAAAGAAAGTTTCAACTCTGTGAGGTGAATGCACACATCAAAAGGGAGTTTCTCAGAAAGCTCCTGTCTAGTTTTTATGTGAAGATATTTCGTATTCCACCACAGGCCATAAGGGGCTCACAAATATCCCTTTGCAGGTTCCACAAAAAGACTGTTGCCAAACTGCTCAATCAAAAGAAAGGTTCAACTCTGTGACGTGAATGGACACATCACAAACAATTTCTTGGAATGATTCTGTCTAGTTTTTATGTGAAGATACTTCCTTTTTCACCACGGGCCTCAAATATCTCCAAATATCCATTTACAGATTCTACAGAAAGACTTCCCAAACTGCTCAATCAAAAGAAAGGTTCAACACAGTGAGATGAAGGCACACATCACAAAGAAGTTTCTCAGAAATCTTCTGTCTACTTTTTATGTGAGGCTATTTCTGGTTCACCTTAGGCCTCAAGCAGCTAAGAAATTTCCCTCTGCAGCTTCTACAAAAGACTGGTTCCAAACTGCTCAACTGAAAGGAAGGTTGAATTCTGTGACATGAATTCACACATCACAAAGAGATTTCTCAGAAATCTTCTGTCTACTTTTTACGTGAAGATATTTCATATTTCAACAAAGGCCATAAAGGGCTCACAAATATCCCTTTGCAGATTCTAAGAAAAGACATTTTCCAAACTCCTCAATCAAAAGAAAGGTTTCACTCTGTGCGATGAATGGACACATCACAAAGAAGTTTCTCAGAAAGCTACTGTGTCGTTTTTATGTGAAGACGTTTCCTTTTTCACTCTAGGCCTTAAAACTCTCTAAATATACATTCACAGATTCTACAAAAAGACTGATTCCAAACTGCTCAATCAGAAGAAAGGTTCAATTTCGTGTGACAAACGTGCACATCACAAAGAAATTTGTCAGAAAGCTTCTGTCTAGTTTTCATGTGAAGATATTTATTTTTCACCATTGGCCCCAAACGGCTCAGAAATATCCCTTTGCAGTTTGTAGGAAAAGACTGTTTCCAAACTGCTCAATGAGAAGAAATTTTCAACTATTAGAGATGAATGGAAATGTCACAAAGAGTTTTCTCAAAAAGCTTCTGTCTGCATTTTATGTGAAGGTATTTCCTTTGGCACCGTAGGCCTTAAACCACTCACAAACATAACTCCGCTTATACTACCAAGAGACTTTCTCCAAATTGCTAAATCAAAAGAAACGTTCAACTCTGAGAGATGAATACACACATCAAAAAGAAGTTTCTCAAAATGCTTCTGTCTAGTTTTTATCTGAAGATATTTCCTTCTTCACCGTAGGCCGCAAATTGCTCCAAATATCCATTTGCGGATTCTACAGAAAGAATGTTTCCAAACTGGTCAATCAACAGAAAGGCTCAACTCTGTGAGACGAAAGCACACATCACAAAGAAGTTTCTCAGAAAGCTTCTGTCTGGTTACTCTGTGAAGATATTTCTTTTTTCACCACAGTCTTTAAGCCACTCAAAAATATCTGTCTGCAGACACTACAAAAAGACTGTTTCCAAACTGGCCCATATAGCATGTTTCAACTATGTGAAAGGAATGCACTCATCAAAGAGAAGTTTCTCAGAATTCTTCTGTCTAGTTTTTATCTCAAGATAATTCCTATTTTGCCATAGGAATCACGGGGCTCAAAAATATCCCTTTGCAGATTCTACAAAAGTTCTGTTTACAAACCTCTCAATCAAAAGAAACGTTCAACATTGTGAGATGAATGAACACATCACAAAGAAGTTTCTCAGAATGCTTCTGTCTAGTTTTTATGTGAAGATATTTCCATTTTCACCTTAGGCCACAAAGTGCTCCAAATATCCATTTGCAGATTATACAAAAAGACTGTTTCCAAACTGCTCAATCAAAAGAAATTTTCAACTCTGTGAGATGAAAGCACACATCACAAAGAAGTTTCTCAGAAATCTTCTGTCTAGTTTTTATGTGAAGATATTCCCTTTTTCACCATAGTCCTTACACCGCTCACAAATATCCTTCTGCAGATACTAGAAAAAGACTGTTTCCAAACTGCTCCATCAAAAGAAAATTTCGCCTACCTGAGATGAATGCACACATCATAAAGAAGTTTCTCAGAATTCTTCTGTCTATTTTAAATGTGAAGATATTTCTTTTTTCACCATAGACCTCAAATGGCTCAGAAATATGCCTTTGCAGATTGCAGAAAAAGACTGTTTCTAAACTGCTCAAACAAAATAAAGTTTCAACACTGTTAGATGAATGCGCACATCACAAAGAAGTTTCTCAGAAAGCTCCTGTCTAGTTTCAATGTGAAGATATTTACTATTTCACTATAGGCTTCAAAGGTCCCAAAAATATCCCTTTGCAGATTCTACAAAAATACGGTTTCCACAGTGCTGAATTAAAAGAAACCTTCAACTCTGTCAGATGAATGGAGACATCACAAAGAAGTTCCTCGGAATGCTTCGGTCTACTTTTCATGTGAAGATATTTCCAGTTTCACCGTAGGCCTCAAAGGGCTAAGAAATATCCCTTTCCAGATTCTAAAAGACGACCGTTTCCATACTTTTCAATCAAAAGAAAGGTTAAATTCTCTGAGGTTAATGCCCACGTCAGAATGAAGTTTCTCAGAATTCTTCTGTTTAGTTTTTATGAGAAGATATTTCCTTTTCCACCATTGGCCTCAAAGCACTCCTAATATCCATTTACAGATTTCACAAAAAGAGTGTTTCCAAACAGCTCAATCAAAAGAAAGTGTTTAACTCCTGTGAGGTGAAAGCACACATCTCAATGGAGTTTCTCAGAAAGCTTCTGTCTGGTTTATATGTGAAGAAGATTCCTATTTCACCATAGGCAATAAAGGGCTCGCAAATATTTTTTGCAGATTCTACAAATAGACTGTATCCAAACTGCTCAATAAAAAGAAAGTTTTAACTCTGTTTGATTAATGGACACATCGAAAAGTAGTTTCTCAGAAAACTTCTATCTAGTTTTTATGTGAAGATATTTCATATTTCAAAATAGGTCTCAATGAGCTCAAAAATAAACTCTTGCAGATGCTACAAAAAGAGTGTTTCCAAAAAGCTCAATCAAAATAAAGGTTTAACACTGTAAGATAAATACACACATTACAAAGAAGTCTCTCAGAATTCTTCTGTTTAGTTTTTACGTGAAGATGTTTCGTTTTTCAACATGGGCCTCAAAAGCTCTCCAAATATCCATTTGCAGATTCTAGAAAAAGAGTGTTTCCAAACTCCTCAATCAAAAGAAAGTTTCAATTCTGTGAGATGAAAGCACACATCACAACGAAGTTTCTTAGAAAGCTTCCGTCTAGTTTTTATGGGAAGATGTTTCTCTTTCACCATAAGCCTCAAACGGATCAGAATTCTCCCTTTGCAGTTTGTACAATAAGCCTCTTTCCAATCTGCTCAATCAAAAGAAAGTTTCAACTCTGTGAGGTGAATGCACACATCACAAGGGAGTTTCTCAGAAAGCTCCTGTCTAGTTTTTGTGTGAAGATATTTCGTATTTCACCACAGGCCATAAGGGGCTCACAAATATCCCTTTGCAGGTTCTATACAAAGACTGTTTCCAAACTGCTCAATCAAAAGAAAGTTCAACTCTGTGACGTGAATGGACACATCACAAAAAATTTCTCGGAATAATTCTGTCTAGTTTTATGTGAAGATACTTCCTTTTTCACCAAGGGCCTCAAATATCTCCAAATATCCATTTGCAGATTCTACAGAAAGACTTCCCAAACTGCTCAAACAAAAGAAAGGTTCAACACAGTGAGATGAAGGCACACATCACAAAGAAGTTTCTCAGAAATCTTCTGTCTAGTTTTTATGTGAGGCTATTTCTTGTTCACCATAGGCCTCAAGCAGCTAAGAAATTTCCCTCTGCAGCTTCTACAAAAGACTGGTTCCAAACTGCTCAACTGAAAGAAAGGTTGAATTCTGTGACATGAATTCACACATCACAAAGAGGTTTTTCAGAAATCTTCTGTCTACTTTTTATGTGAAGATATTTCATATTTCAACAAAGGCCATAAAGGGCTCACAGATATCCCTTTGCAGATTCTAAGAAAAGACATTTTCCAAGCTCCTCAATCAAAAGAAAGGTTTCACTCTGTGCGATGAATGGACACATCACAAAGAAGTTTCTCAGAAAGCTACTGTGTCGTTTTTATGTGAAGACGTTTCCTTTTTCACTCTAGGCCTTAAAACTCTCTAAATATACATTCACAGATTCTACAAAAAGACTGATTCCAAACTGCTCAATCAGAAGAAAGGTTCAATTCCGTGTGACAAACGTGCACATCACAAAGAAATTTGTCAGAAAGCTTCTGTCTAGTTTTCATGTGAAGATATTTATTTTTCACCATTGGCCCCAAACGGCTCAGAAATATCCCTTTGCAGTTTGTAGGAAAAGACTGTTTCCAAACTGCTCAATGAAAAGAAATGGTCAACTATTAGAGATGAATGGAAATGTCACAAAGAGTTTTCTCAAAAAGCTTCTGTCTGCATTTTATGTGAAGGTATTTCCTTTGGCACCGTAGGCCTTAAACCACTCACAAACATAACTCCGCTTATACTACCAAGAGACTTTCTCCAAATTGCTAAATCAAAAGAAATGTTCAACTCTGTGAGATGAATACACACATCAAAAAGAAGTTTCTCAAAATGCTTCTGTCTAGTTTTTATGTGAAGATATTTCCTTCTTCACCGTAGGCCGCAAATTGCTCCAAATATCCATTTGCGGATTCTACAGAAAGAATGTTTCAAACTGGTCAATCAACAGAAAGGCTCAACTCTGTGAGACGAAAGCACACATCACAAAGAAGTTTCTCAGAAAGCTTCTGTCTGGTTACTCTGTGAAGATATTTCTTTTTTCACCACAGTCTTTAAGCCACTCAAAAATATCTGTCTGCAGACACTACAAAAAGACTGTTTCCAAACTGGCCCATATAGCATGTTTCAACTATGTGAAATGAATGCACTCATCAAAGAGAAGTTCCTCAGAATTCTTCTGTCTAGTTTTTATCTCAAGATAATTCCTATTTTGCCATAGGAATCAAGGGGCTCACAAATATCCCTTTGCATATCCTACAAAAGTTCTGTTTACAAACCTCTCAATCAAAAGAAACGTTCAACATTGTGAGACGAATGAACACATCACAAAGAAGTTTCTCAGAATGCTTCTGTCTAGATTTTATGTGAAGATATTTCCATTTTCACCTTAGGCCACAAAGCGCTCCAAACATCCCTTTGCAGATGATACGAAAAGACTGTGTCCAAACTGCTCAATCAAAAGAAATTTTCAACTCTGTGAGATGAAAGCACCCATCACAAAAAAGTTTCTCAGAAATCTTCTGTCTAGTTTTTTTGTGAAGATATTTCCTTTTTCAGCGTAGTCCTTACACCGCTCACAAATATCCTTCTGCAGATACTAGAAAAAGACTGTTTCCAAACTGCTCCATCAAAAGAAAATTTCACCTACCTGAGATGAATGCACACATCATAAAGAAGTTTCTCAGAATTCTTCTGTCTAGTTTAAATGTGAAGATATTTCTCTTTCACCGCAGACCTCAAATGGCTCAGAAATATGCCTTTGCAGTTTGCAGAAAAAGACTGTCTCTAAACTGCTCAAATAAAATAAAGTTTCAACACTGTGAGATGAATGCACACATCACAAAGAAGTTTCTCAGAAAGCTCCTGTCTAGTTTCTATGTGAAGATATTTACTATTTCAATATAGGCTTCAAAGGTCTCAAAAATATCCCTTTGCAGATTCTACAAAAATACGGTTTCCACAGTGCTGAATTAAAAGAAACCTTCAACTCTGTCAGATGAACAGAGACATCACAAAGAAGTTCCTCGGAATGCTTCGGTCTACTTTTCATGTGAAGATATTTCCAGTTTCACCGTAGGCCTCAAAGGGCTAAGAAATATCCCTTTCCAGATTCTAAAAGACGACCGTTTCCATACTTCTCAATCCAAAGAAAGGTTAAATTCTCTGAGGTTAATGCCCACGTCAGAATGAAGTTTCTCAGAATTCTTCTGTTTAGTTTTTATGAGAAGATATTTCCTTTTCCACCATTGGCCTCAAAGCACTCCTAATATCCATTTACAGATTTCACAAAAAGAGTGTTTCCAAACAGCTCAATCAAAAGAAAGTGTTTAACTCTGTGAGGTGAAAGCACACATCTCAATGGAGTTTCTCAGAAAGCTTCTGTCTAGTTTATATGTGAAGAAGATTCCTATTTCACCATAGGCAATAAAGGGCTCGCAAATATTTTTTGCAGATTCTACAAAAAGACTGTATCCAAACTGCTCAATAAAAACAAAGTTTTAACTCTGTTTGACTAATGGACACATTGAAAGGTAATTTCTCAGAAAACTTCTGTCTAGTTTTTATGTGAAGATATTTCACATTGCACCATAGTACTCAATGGGCTCAGAAATATCCCTTTGCAGATTCTACAAGAGGACTGTTTCCAAACTACTCAATCCAAAGACAGTTTCAACTATGTGAGATGAATGCACACATCACAAAGAAGTTTCTCAGAGTGCTTCTGTTTAGTTTTTACATGAAGATGTTTCGTTTTTCAACATGGGCCTCAAAAGCTCTCCAAATATCCACTTGCAGATTCTAGAAAAAGAGTGTTTCCAAACTCCTCAGTCAAAAGAAAGTTTCAATTGTGTGAGATGAAAGCACACATCACTCCGAAGTTTCTTAGAAAGCTTCCGTCTAGTTTTTATGGGAAGATGTTTCTCTTTCACCATTAGCCTCAAACGGATCAGAATTCTCCCTTTGCAGATTGTACAATAAGCCTCTTTCCAATCTGCTCAATCAAAAGAAAGTTTCAACTCTGTGAGGTGAATGCACACATCACAAGGGAGTTTCTCAGAAAGCTCCTGTCTAGTTTTTGTGTGAAGATACTTCGTATTTCACCACAGGCCATAAGGGGCTCACAAATATCCCTTTGCAGGTTCTACAAAAAGACTGTTTCCAAACTGCTCAATCAAAAGAAAGGTTCAACTCTGTGACGTGAATGGACACATCACAAAAAATTTCTCGGAATGATTCTGTCTAGTTTTTATTTGCTGATACTCCCTTTTTCACCATAGGCCTCAAACCGCTCATAAATAACCCTTTGCAGATTCTACAAAAAGAGTGTTTCCAAACTACTCAATCACAAGAAAGCTTCAACTCTGTGACATGAATTCACACATCACAAAGAAGTTTTTCAGAAATCTTCTGTCTACTTTTTATGTGAGGCTATTTCTTGTTCACCATAGGCCTCAAGCAGCTAAGAAATTTCCCTCTGCAGCTTCTACAAAAGACTGGTTCCAAACTGCTCAACTGAAAGGAAGGTTGAATTCTGTGACATGAATTCACACATCACAAAGAGGTTTCTCAGAAATCTTCTGTCTACTTTTTATGTGAAGATATTTCATATTTCAACAAAGGCCATAAAGGGCTCACAAATATCCCTTTGCAGATTCTAAGAAATGACATTTTCCAAAATCCTCAATCAAAAGAAAGGTTCCACTCTGTGCGATGAATGGACACATCACAAAGAAGTTTCTCAGAAAGCTACTGTGTCGTTTTTATGTGAAGACCGTTTCCTTTTTCACTCTAGGCCTTAAAACTCTCTAAATATACATTCACAGATTCTACAAAAAGACTGATTCCAAACTGCTCAATCAGAAGAAAGGTTCAATTCCGTGTGACAAACGTGCACATCACAAAGAAATTTGTCAGAAAGCTTCTGTCTAGTTTTCATGTGAAGATATTTATTTTTCACCATTGGCCCCAAACGGCTCAGAAATATCCCTTTGCAGTTTGTAGGAAAAGACTGTTTCCAAACTGCTCAATGAGAAGAAATGGTCAACTATTAGAGATGAATGGAAATGTCACAAAGAGTTTTCTCAAAAAGCTTCTGTCTACATTTTTTGTGAAGGTATTTCCTTTGGCACCGTAGGCCATAAACCACTCACAAACATAACTCCGCTTATACTACCAAGAGACTTTCTCCAAATTGCTAAATCAAAAGAAACGTTCAACTCTGTGAGATGAATACACACATCAAAAAGAAGTTTCTCAAAATGCTTCTGTCTAGTTTTTATGTGAAGATATTTCCTTCTTCACCGTAGGCCGCAAATTGTTCCAGATATCCATTTGCGGATTCTACAAAAAGAATGTTTCCAAACTGGTCAATCAACAGAAAGGCTCAACTCTGTGAGACGAAAGCACACATCACAAAGAAGTTTCTCAGAAAGCTTCTGTCTGGTTACTCTGTGAAGATATTTCTTTTTTCACCACAGTCTTTAAGCCACTCAAAAATATCTGTCTGCAGACACTACAAAAAGACTGTTTCCAAACTGGCCCATATAGCATGTTTCAACTATGTGAAAGGAATGCACTCATCAAAGAGAAGTTTCTTAGAATTCTTCTGTCTAGTTTTTATCTCAAGATTATTCCTATTTTGCCATAAGAATCAAGGGGCTCACAAATATCCCTTTGCGGATTCTACAAAAGTTCTGTTTACAAACCTCTCAATCAAAAGAAACGTTCAACATTGTGAGATGAATGAACACATCACAAAGAAGTTTCTCAGAATGCTTCTGTCTAGATTTTATGTGAGGATATTTCCATTTTCACCTTAGGCCACAAAGCGCTCCAAACATCCCTTTGCAGATGATACGAAAAGACTGTTTCCAAACTGCTCAATCAAAAGAAATTTACAACTCTGTGAGATGAAAGCACCCATCACAAAAAAGTTTCTCAGATATCTTCTGTCTAGTTATTATGTGAAGATATTTTCTTTTTCACCATAGTCTTTAAACCACTCAAAAATATCCTTCTGCAGATACTACAAAAAGACTGTTTCCAAACTGGTCCATCAAAGAATGTTTCAACTCTGTGAGATGAATGGACTCATCACAAAGAAGTTTCTCAGAATTCTTCTGTCTAGTTTAAATGTGAAGATATTTCTCTTTCACCACAGACCTCAAATGGCTCAGAAATATGCCATTGCAGATTGCAGAAAAAGACTGTCTCTAAACTGCTCAAATAAAATAAAGTTTCAACACTGTGAGATGAATGCACACATCACAAAGAAGTTTCTCAGAAAGCTCCTGTCTAGTTTCTATGTGAAGATATTTACTATTTCACTATAGGCTTCAAAGGTCTCAAAAATATCCCTTTGCAGATTCTACAAAAATACGGTTTCCACAGTGCTGAATTAAAAGAAACCTTCAACTCTGTCAGATGAATGGAGACATCACAAAGAAGTTCCTCGGAATGCTTCGGTCTACTTTTCATGTGAAGATATTTCCAGTTTCACCGTAGGCCTCAAAGGGCTAAGAAATATCCCTTTGCAGATTCTAAAAGACGACCGTTTCCATACTTCTCAATCAAAAGAATGGTTAAATTCTCTGAGGTTAATGCCCACGTCAGAATGAAGTTTCTCAGAATTCTTCTCTTTAGTTTTTATGAGAAGATATTTCCTTTTTCACCACTGGCCTCAAAGCACTCCTAATATCCATTTACAGTTTCACAAAAAGAGTGTTTCCAAACAGCTCAATCAAAAGAAAGTGTTTAACTCTGTGAGGTGAAAGCACACATCTCAATGAAGTTTCTCAGAAAGCTTCTGTCTAGTTTATATGTGAAGAAGATTCCTATTTCACCATAGGCAATAAAGGGCTCACAAATATTTTTTGCAGATTCTACAAAAAGACTGTGTCCAAACTGCTCAAAAAAAAGAAAGTTTTAACTCTGTTAGATTAACGGACACATCGAAAAGTAGTTTCTCAGAAAACTTCTGTCTAGTTTTTATGTGAAGATACTTCACATTGCAGCATAGTACTCAATGGGCTCAGAAATATCCCTTGGCAGATTCTACAATAGGACTGTTTCAAAACTGCTCAATCCAAAGAAAGTTTCAACTATGTGAGATGAATGCACACATCACAAAGAAGTTCCTCAGAATGCTTCTGTTTAGTTTTTACGTGAAGATGTTTCGTTTTTCAACATGGGCCTCAGGAGCTCTCCAAATATCCATTTGCAGATTCTAGAAAAAGAGTGTTTCCAAACTCCTCAATCAAAAGAAAGTTTCAATTCCGTGAGATGAAAGCACACATCACACCGAAGTTTCTTAGAAAGCTTCCGTCTAGTTTTTATGGGAAGATATTTCACTTTCACCAGAAGCCTCAAACGGATCAGAATTCTCCCTTTGCAGATTGTACAATAAGCCTCTTTCCAATCTGTTCAATCAAAAGAAAGTTTCAACTCTGTGAGGTGAATGCACACATCACAAGGGAGTTTCTCAGAAAGCTCCTGTCTAGTTTTTATGTGAAGATATTTCGTATTTCACCACAGGCCATAAGGGGCTCACAAATATCCCTTTGCAGGTTCTACAAAAAGACTGTTTCCAAACTGCTCAATCAAAAGAAAGGTTCAACTCTGTGACGTGAATGGACACATCACAAAAAATTTCTTGGAATGATTCTGTCTAGTTTTTATGTGAAGATACTTCCTTTTTCACCAAGGGCCTCAAATATCTCCAAATATCAATTTGCAGATTCTACAGAAAGACTTCCCAAACTGCTCAATCAAAAGAAAGGTTCAACACAGTGAGATGAAGGCACACATCACAAAGAAGTTTCTCAGAAATCTTCTGTCTACTTTTTATGTGAGGCTATTTCTTGTTCACCATAGGCCTCAAGCAGCTAAGAAATTTCCCTCTGCAGCTTCTACAAAAGACTGGTTCCAAACTGCTCAACTGAAAGGAAGGTTGAAATCTGTGACATGAATTCACACATCACAAAGAGGTTTCTCAGAAATCTTCTGTCTAGTTTTTATGTGAAGATATTTCATATTTCAACATAGGCCATAAAGGGCTCACAAATATCCCTTTGTAGATTCTAAGAAAAGACATTTTCCAAACTCCTCAATCAAAAGAAAGGTTTAACTCTGTGAGATGAATGGACACATCACAAAGAAGTTTCTTAGAAAGCTACTGCGTCGTTTTTATGTGAAGACGTTTCCTTTTTCACTCTAGGCCTTAAAACTCTCTAAATATACATTCATAGATTCTACAAAAAGACTGATTCCAAACTGCGCAATCAGAAGAAATGTTCAATTCCGTGTGACAAACGTGCACATCACAAAGAAATTTGTCAGAAAGCTTCTGTCTAGTTTTCATGTGAAGATATTTATTTTTCACCATTGGCCCCAAACGGCTCAGAAATATCCCTTTGCAGTTTGTAGGAAAAGACTGTTTCCAAACTGCTCAATGAGAAGAAATGGTCAACTATTAGAGATGAATGGACATGTCACAAAGAGTTTTCTCAAAAAGCTTCTGTCTACATTTTATGTGAAGGTATTTCCTTTGGCACCGTAGGCCTTAAACCACTCACAAACATAACTCCGCTTATACTACCAAGAGACTTTCTCCAAATTGCTAAATCAAAAGAAACGTTGAACTCTGTGAGATGAATACACACATCAAAAATAAGTTTCTCAAAATGCTTCTGTCTAGTTTTTATGTGAAGATATTTCCTTCTTCACCGTAGGCCACAAATTGCTCCAAATATCCATTTACGGATTCTACAGAAAGAATGTTTCCAAACTGGTCAATCAACAGAAAGGCTCAACTCTGTGAGACGAAAGCACACATCACAAAGAAGTTTCTCAGACAGCTTCTGTCTGGTTGCTATGTGAAGATGTTTCCTTTTTCACCATAGTCTTTAAGCCACTCTAAAATACCTGACTGCAGACTCTGCAAAAAGACTGTTTCCAAACTGGCCCATATAGCATGTTTCAACTATGTGAAATGAATGCACTCATCAAAAAGAAGTTTCTCAGGATTCTTCTGTCTAGTTTTTATCTCAAGATAATTCCTATTTTGCCATAGGAATCAAGGGGCTCACAAATATCCCTTTGCAGATTCTACAAAAGTTGTGTTTACAAACCTCTCAATCAAAAGAAACGTTCAACATTGTGAGATGAATGAACACATCACAAAGAAGTTTCTCAGAATACTTCTGTCTAGTTTTTAT
The DNA here is from genome assembly GCF_000001405.40 of Homo sapiens. Lineage (NCBI taxonomy): Eukaryota > Metazoa > Chordata > Mammalia > Primates > Hominidae > Homo > Homo sapiens. The sequence continues at coordinate 13,188,252 of NC_000022.11, read as the reverse complement.
GTGAAGATATTTCCATTTTCAACTTAGGCCACAAAGTGCTCCAAATATCCATTTGCAGATTATATGAAAAGACTGTTTCCAAACTGCTCAATCAAAAGAAATTTTCAACTCTGTGAGATGAAAGCACACATCACAAAAAAGTTTCTCAGAAATCTTCTGTCTAGTTTTTATGTGAAGATATTTCCTTTTCCACCATAGGCCTTAAACCGCTCACAAATATCCTTCTGCAGATACTATAAAAAGACTGTTTCCAAACTGCTCCATCAAAAGAAAAGTTCACCTCTCTGAGGTGAATGCACACATCAGAAAGAAGTTTCTCAGAATTCTTCTGTCTAGTTTCAATGTGAAGATATTTCTTTTTCACCATAGACCTCAAATGGCTCAGAAATATACCTTTGCAGATTGCAAAAAAAGACTGTCTCTAAACTGCTCAAATAAAATAAAGTCTCAACACTGTGAGATGAATGCGCACATCACAAAGAAGTTTCTCAGAAAGCTCCTGTCTAGTTTTTATGTGAAGATATTTAGTATTTCACTATAGGCTTCAAATGTCTCAAAAATATCCCTTTGCAGATTCTACAAAAATATGGTTTCCAAAGTGCTGAATTAAAAGAAACTTTCAACTCTGTCAGATGAATGGAGACATCACAAAGAAGTTCCTCAGAATGCTTCGGTCTACTTTTCATGTGAAGATATTTCCAGTTTCACCGGAGGCCTCAAAGGGCTAAGAAATATCCCTTTCCAGATTCTAAAAGACGACCGTTTCCATACTTCTCAATCAAAAGAAAGGTTAAATTCTCTGAGGTTAATGCCCACGTCAGAATGAAGTTTCTCAGAATTCTTCTGTTTAGTTTTTATGTGAAGATATTTCCTTTGTCACCATTGGCCTCAAAGCCCTGCTAATATCCATTTACAGATTTCACAAAAAGAGTGTTTCCAAACAGCTCAATCAAAAGAAAGTGTTTAACTCTGTGAGGTGAAAGCACACATCTCCAAGAAGTTTCTCAGAAAGCTTCTGTCTAGTTTATATGTGAAGAAGATTCCTATTTCACCATAGGCAATAAAGGGCTCGCAAATATTTTTTGCAGATTCTACAAAAAGACTGTATCCAAACTGCTCAATGAAAAGAAAGTTTTAACTCTGTTAGATTAATGGACACATCGAAAGGTAGTTTCTCAGAAATCTTCTGTCTAGTTTTTATGTGAAGATACTTCACAGTGCATCATAGTACTCAATGGGCTCAGAAATATCCCTTGGCAGATTCTACAAAAGGACTGTTTCAAAACTGCTCAATACAAAGAAAGTTTCAACTATGTGAGATGAATGCACACATCACAAAGAAGTTCCTCAGAATGCTTCTGTTTAGTTTTTACGTGAAGATGTTTCGTTTTTCAACATGGGCCTCAGAAGCTCTCCAAATATCCATTTGCAGATTCTAGAAAAAGAGTGTTTCCAAACTCCTCAATGCAAAGAAAGTTTCAATTCCGTGAGATGAAAGCACACATCACAACGAAGTTTCTTAGAAAGCTTCCGTCTAGTTTTTATGGGAATATGTTTCTCTTTCACCATAAGCCTCAAACGGATCAGAATTCTCCCTTTGCAGATTGTACAATAAGACTCTTTCCAATCTGCTCAATCAAAAGAAAGTTTCAACTCTGTGAGGTGAATGCACACATCACAAGAGAGTTTCTCAGAAACCTCCTGTCTAGTTTTTATGTGAAGATATTTCGTATTTCACCACAGGCCATAAGGGGCTCACAAATATCCCTTTGCAGGTTCTACAAAAAGACTGTTTCCAAACTGCTCAATCAAAAGAAAGGTTCAACTCTGTGACGTGAATGGACACATCGCAGAAAATTTCTTGGAATGATTCTGTCTAGTTTTTATGTGAAGATACTTCCTTTTTCACCAAGGGCCTCAAATATCCCCAAATATCCATTTGCAGATTCTACAGAAAGACTTCCCAAACTGCTCAATCAAAAGAAAGGTTCAACACAGTGAGATGAAGGCACACATCACAAAGAAGTTTCTCAGAAATCTTCTGTCTACTTTTTATGTGAGGCTATTTCTTGTTCACCATAGGCCTCGAGCAGCTAAGAAATTTCCCTCTGCAGCTTCTACAAAAGACTGGTTCCAAACTGCTCAACTGAAAGGAAGGTTGAATTCTGTGACATGAATTCACACATCACAAAGAGGTTTTTCAGAAATCTTCTGTCTACTTTTTATGTGAAGATATTTCATATTTCAACAAAGGCCATAAAGGGCTCACGAATATCCCTTTGCAGATTCTAAGAAAAGACATTTTCCAAACTCCTCAATCAAAAGAAAGGTTTCACTCTGTGCAATGAATGGACACATCACAAAGAAGTTTCTCAGAAAGCTACTGTGTAGTTTTTATGTGAAGATATTTCCTTTTTCACTATAGGCCTTAAAACACTCCAAATATACATTTGCAGATTCTACAAAAAGACTGTTTCCAAACTGCTCAATCAAATGAAAGGTTCAACTCTGTGATACAAACGTGCACAACACAGAGGAGTTTCTCAGAAAGCTTCTGTCTAGTTTTCATGTGAAGATATTTATTTTTCACCATTGGCCCCAAACGGCTCAGAAATATCCCTTTGCAGTTTGTAGGAAAAGACTGTTTCCAAACTGCTCAATGAAAAGAAATGGTCAACTATTAGCGATGAATGGAAATGTCACAAAGAGTTTTCTCAAAAAGCTTCTGTCTACATTTTATGTGAAGGTATTTCCTTTGGCACCGTAGGCCTTAAACCACTCACAAACATAACTCCGCTTATACTACCAAGAGACTTTCTCCAAATTGCTAAATCAAAAGAAACGTTCAACTCTGTGAGATGAATACACACATCAAAAAGAAGTTTCTCAAAATGCTTCTGTCTAGTTTTTATGTGAAGATATTTCCTTCTTCACAGTAGGCCGCAAATTGCTCCAAATATCCATTTGCGGATTCTACAGAAAGAATGTTTCCAAACTGGTCAATCAACAGAAAGGCTCAACTCTGTGAGACGAAAGCACACATCACAAAGGAGTTTCTCAGAAAGCTTCTGTCTGGTTACTCTGTGAAGATATTTCTTTTTTCACCACAGGCTTTAAGCCACTCAAAAATATCTGTCTGCAGACACTACAAAAAGACTGTTTCCAAACTGGCCCATATAGCATGTTACAACTATGTGAATTGAATGCACTCATCAAAGAGAAGTTTCTCCGAATTCTTCTGCCTTTTTTTTATTTCAAGATAATTCCTATTTCACCATAGGAATCAATGGGCTCACAAATATCCCTTTGCAGATTCTACAAAAGTTCTGTTTCCAAACTGCTCAATCAAAAGAAACGTTCAACATTGTAAGATGAATGCACACATCACAAAGAAGTTTCTCAGAATGCTTCTGTCTAGTTTTTATGTGAAGATGTTTCCATTTTCACCTTAGGCCACAAAGCGCTCCAAACATCCGTTTGCAGATGATACGAAAGGACTGTTTCCAAACTGCTCAATCAAAAGAAATTTTCAACTCTGTGAGATGAGAGCACACATCACAAAAAAGTTTCTCAGAAATCTTCTGTCTAGTTTTTATGTGAAGATATTTCCTTTTTCAGCATAGTCCTCACACCGCTCACAAATATCCTTCTGCAGATACTAGAAAAAGACTGTTTCCAAACTGCTCCATCAAAAGAAAATTTCACCTACCTGAGATGAATGCACACATCATAAAGAAGTTTCTCAGAATCCTTCTGTCTAGTTTAAATGTGAAGATATTTCTCTTTCACCACAGACCTCAAATGGCTCAGAAATATGCCTTTGCAGATTGCAGAAAAAGACTGTCTCCAAACTGCTCAAATAAAATAAAGTTTCAACACTGTGAGATGAATGCACACATCACAAAGAAGTTTCTCAGAAAGCTCCTGTCTAGTTTTTATGTGAAGATATTTACTATTTCACTATAGGCTTCAAATGTCTCAAAAATATCCCTTTGCAGATTCTACAAAAATATGGTTTCCAAAGTGCTGAATTAAAAGAAACCTTCAACTCTGTCAGATGAATGGAGACATCACAAAGAAGTTCCTCAGAATTCTTCGGTCTACTTTTCCTGTGAAGATATTTCCAGTTTCACCGTAGGCCTCAAAGGGCTAAGAAATATCCCTTTCCAGATTCTAAAAGACGACCGTTTCCATACTTGTCAATCAAAAGAAAGGTTAAATTCTCTGAGGTTAATGCGCACATCAGAATGAAGTTTCTCAGAATTCTTCTGTTTAGTTTTTATGAGAAGATATTTCCTTTGTCACCATTGGCCTCAAAGCACTCCTAATATCCATTTACAGATTTCACAAAAAGAGTGTTTCCAAACAGCTCAATCAAAAGAAAGTGTTTAACTCTGTGAGGTGAAAGCACACATCTCAATGAAGTTTCTCAGAAAGCTTCTGTCTAGTTTATATGTGAAGAAGATTCCTATTTCACCATAGGCAATAAAGGGCTCACAAATATGTTTTGCAGATTCTACAAAAAGACTGTGTCCAAACTGCTCAATAAAAAGAAAGTTTTAACTCTGTTAGATTAACGGACACATCGAAAAGTAGTTTCTCAGAAAACTTCTGTCTAGTTTTTATGTGAAGATACTTCACAGTGCATCATAGTACTCAATGGGCTCAGAAATATCCCTTGGCAGATTCTACAAAAGGACTGTTTCAAAACTGCTCAATCCAAAGAAAGTTTCAACTATGTGTGATGAATGCACACATCACAAAGAAGTTCCTCAGAATGCTTCTGTTTAGTTTTTACGTGTAGATGTTTCGTTTTTCAACATGGGCCTCAGAAGCTCTCCAAATATCCATTTGCAGATTCTAGAAAAAGAGTGTTTCCAAACTCCTCAATCAAAAGAAAGTTTCAATTCCGTGAGATGAAAACACACATCACACCGAAGTTTCTTAGAAAGCTTCCGTCTAGTTTTTATGGGAATATGTTTCTCTTTCACCATAAGCCTCAAACGCATCAGAATTCTCCCTTTGCAGATTGTACAATAAGCCTCTTTCCAATCTGCTCAATCAAAAGAAAGTTTCAACTCTGTGAGGTGAATGCACACATCACAAGGGAGTTTCTCAGAAAGCTCCTGTCTAGTTTTTATGTGAAGATATTTCGTATTTCACCACAGGCCATAAGGCGCTCACAAAAATCCCTTTGCAGGTTCTACAAAAAGAGTGTTTCCAAACTGCTCAATCAAAAGAAAGGTTCAACTCTGTGACGTGAATGGACACATCACAAACAATTTCTTGGAATGATTCTGTCTAGTTTTTATGTGAAGATACTTGCTTTTTCACCAAGGGCCTCAAATATCTCCAAATATCCATTTGCAGATTCTACACAAAGACTTCCCAAACTGCTCAATCAAAAGAAAGGTTCAACACAGGGAGATGAAGACACACATCACAAAGAAGTTTCTCAGAAATCTTCTGTCTGGTTTTTATGTGAAGTTATTTCTTTTTCACCATAGGCCTGAATCAGCTAAGAAATTTCCCTTTGCACCTTCTACAAAAGACTGTTTCCAAACTGCTCAATCGAAAGAAAGGTTGAATTCTGTGACATGAATTCACACATCACAAAGAAGTTTCTCAGAAATCTTCTGTCTATTTTTTATGTGAAGATATTTCATATTTCAACATAGGCCATAAAGGGCTCACAAATATCCCTTTGTAGATTCTAAGAAAAGACATTTTCCAAACTCCTCAATCAAAAGAAAGGTTTAACTCTGTGAGGTGAATGGACACATCACAAAGAAGTTTCTTAGAAAGCTACTGTGTCGTTTTTATGTGAAGACGTTTCCATTTTCACTCTAGGCCTTAAAACTCTCTAAATATGCATTCACAGATTCTACAAAAAGACTGATTCCAAACTGCTCAATCAGAAGAAAGGTTCAGTTCCGTGTGACAAACGTGCACATCAGAAAGAAATTTGTCAGAAACCTTCTGTCTAGTTTTCATGTGAAGATATTTATTTTTCACCATTGGCCCCAAACGGCTCAGAAATGTCCCTTTGCAGTTTGTAGGAAAAGACTGTTTCCAAACTGCTCAATGAGAAGAAATGGTCAACTATTAGAGATGAATGGAAATGTCACAAAGAGTTTTCTCAAAAACCTTCTGTCTGCATTTTATGTGAAGGTATTTCCTTTGGCACCGTAGGCCTTAAACCACTCACAAACATAACTCCGCTTATACTACCAAGAGACTTTCTCCAAATTGCTAAATCAAAAGAAACGTTCAACTCTGTGAGATGAATACACACATCAAAAAGAAGTTTCTCAAAATGCTTCTGTCTAGTTTTTATGTGAAGATATTTCCTTCTTCACCGTAGGCCGCAAATTGCTCCAAATATCCATTTGCGGATTCTACAGAAAGAATGTTTCCAAACTGGTCAATCAACAGAAAGGCTCAACTCTGTGAGACGAAAGCACACATCACAAAGTAGTTTCTCAGAAAGCTTCTGTCTGGTTACTCTGTGAAGATATTTCTTTTTTCACCACAGTCTTTAAGCCACTCAAAAATATCTGTCTGCAGACACTACAAAAAGACTGTTTCCAAACTGGCCCATATAGCATGTTTCAACTATGTGAAATGAATGCACTCATCAAAGAGAAGTTTCTCCGAATTCTTCTGTCTAGTTTTTATCTCAAGAGAATTCCTATTTTGCCATAGGAATCAAGGGGCTCACAAATATCCCTTTGCAGATTCTACAAAAGTTCTGTTTACAAACCTCTCAATCAAAAGAAACGTTCAACATTGTGAGATGAATGAACACATCACAAAGAAGTTTCTCAGAATGCTTCTGTCTAGATTTTATGTGAAGATATTTCCATTTTCACCTTAGGCCACAAAGCGCTCCACACATCCCTTTGCAGATGATACGAAAAGACTGTTTCCAAACTGCTCAATCAAAAGAAATTTTCAACTCTGTGAGATGAAAGCACCCATCACAAAAAAGTTTCTCAGAAATCTTCTGTCTAGTTTTTATGTGAAGATATTTCCTTTTTCACCACAGGCCTTAAACTGCTCACAAATATCCTTCTGCAGATACTATAAAAAGACTGTTTCCAAACTGCTCCATCAAAAGAAAAGTTCACCTCTCTGAGGTGAATGCACACATCACAAAGAATTTTCTCAGACTTCTTCTGTCTAGTTTAAATGTGAAGATATTTCTCTTTCACCACAGACCTCAAATGGCTCAGAAATATGCCTTTGCAGATTGCAGAAATAGACTGTCTCTAAACTGCTCAAATAAAATAAAGTTTCAACACTGTGAGATGAATGCACACATCACAAAGAAGTTGCTCAGAAAGCTTCTGTCTAGTTTTTATGTGAAGATATTTACTATTTCACTATAGGCTTCAAATGTCTCACAAATATCCCTTTGCAGATTCTACAAAAATATGGTTGCCGAACTTCTGAATTAAAAGAAGCATTCAACTCTGTCAAATGAATGGAGACATCACAAAGAGGTTCCTCAGAATGCTTCGGTCTACTTTTCATGTGAAGATATTTCCAGTTTCACCGTAGGCCTCAAAGGGCTAAGAAATATCCCTTTCCAGATTCTAAAAGACGACCGTTTCCATACTTCTCAATCAAAAGAAAGGTTACATTCTGTGAGGTTAATGCACACATCAGAATGAAGTTTCTCAGAATTCTTCTGTTTAGTTTTTATGTGAAGATATTTCCTTTGTCACAATTGGCCTCAAAGCACTCCTAATATCCATTTACAGATTTCACAAAAAGAGTGTTTCCAAACAGCTCAATCAAAAGAAAGTGTTTAACTCTGTGAGGTGAAAGCACACATCTCAAAGAAGTTTCTCAGTAAGCTTCTGTCTAGTTTATATGTGAAGAAGATTCCTATTTCACCATAGGCAATAAAGGGCTCGCAAATATTTTTTGCAGATTCTACAAAAAGACTGTATCCAAACTGCTCAATAAAAAGAAAGTTTTAACTCTGTTTGATTAATGGACACATCGAAAAGTAGTTTTTCAGAAAACTTCTGTCTAGTTTTTATGTGAAGATACTTCACAGTGCATCATAGTACTCAATGGGCTCAGAAATATCCCTTGGCAGATTCTACAAAAGGAGTGTTTCAAAACTGCTCAATTCAAAGAAAGTTTCAACTATGTGAGATGAATGCACACATCACAAAGAAGTTCCTCAGAATGCTTCTGTTTAGTTTTTATGTGAAGATATTTCGTTTTTCACCATGGGCCTCAAAAGCTCTCCAAATATCCATTTGCAGATTCTAGAAAAAGAGTGTTTCCAAACTCCTCAATCAAAAGAAAGTTTCAATTCTGTGAGATGAAAGCACACATCACAAAGAAGTTTCTTAGAAAGCTTCCGTCTAGTTTTTATGGGAAGATGTTTCTCTTTCACCATAAGCCTCAAACGGATCAGAATTCTCCCTTTGCAGTTTGTACAATAAGCCTCTTTCCAATCTGCTCAATCAAAAGAAAGTTTCAACTCTCTGAGGTGAATGCACACATCACAAGGGAGTTTCTCAGAAAGCTCCTGTCTAGTTTTTATGTGAAGATATTTCGTATTTCACCACAGGCCATAAGGGGCTCACAAATATCCCTTTGCAGGTTCTACAAAAAGACTGTTTCCAAACTGCTCAATCAAAAGAAAGGTTCAACTCTGTGACGTGAATGGACACATCACAGAAAATTTCTTGGAATGATTCTGTCTAGTTTTTGTGGGAAGATACTTCCTTTTTCACCAAGGGCCTCAAATATCTCCAAATATCCATTTGCAGATTCTACAGAAAGACTTCCCAAACTGCTCAATCAAAAGAAAGGTTCAACACAGTGAGATGAAGGCACACATCACAAAGAAGTTTCTCAGAAATCTTCTGTCTAGTTTTTATGTGAGGCTATTTCTTGTTCACCATAGGCCTCAAGCAGCTAAGAAATTTCCTCTGCAGCTTCTACAAAAGACTGGTTCCAAACTGCTCAACTGAAAGGAAGGTTGAATTCTGTGACATGAATTCACACATCACAAAGAGGTTTTTCAGAAATCTTCTGTCTACTTTTTATGTGAAGATATTTCATATTTCAACAAAGGCCATAAAGGGCTCACAAATATCCCTTTGCAGATTCTAAGAAAAGACATTTTCCAAACTCCTCAATCAAAAGAAAGGTTCCACTCTGTGCGATGAATGGACACATCACAAAGAAGTTTCTCAGAAAGCTACTGTGTCGTTTTTATGTGAAGACGTTTCCATTTTCACTCTAGGCCTTAAAACTCTCTAAATATGCATTCACAGATTCTACAAAAAGACTGATTCCAAACTGCTCAATCAGAAGAAAGGTTCAATTCCGTGTGACAAACGTGCACATCACAAAGAAATTTGTCAGAAACCTTATGTCTAGTTTTCATGTGAAGATGGTTATTTTTCACCATTGGCCCCAAACGGCTCAGAAATATCCCTTTGCAGTTTGTAGGAAAAGACTGTTTCCAAACTGCTCAATGAAAAGAAATGGTCAACTATTAGAGATGAATGGAAATGTCACAAAGAGTTTTCTCAAAAAGCTTCTGTCTACATTTTATGTGAAGGTATTTCCTTTGGCACCGTAGGCCTTAAACCACTCACAAACATAACTCCGCTTATACTACCAAGAGACTTTCTCCAAATTGCTAAATCAAAAGAAACGTTCAACTCTGTGAGAAGAATACACACATCAAAAAGAAGTTTCTCAAAATGCTCCTGTCTAGTTTTTCTGTGAAGATATTTCCTTTTTCACCGTAGGCCACAAATTGCTCCAAATATCCATTTGCAGATTCTACAAAAAGAATGTTCCCAAACTGGTCAATCAAAAGAAAGGCGCAACTCTGTGAGACGAAAGCACACATCACAAAGAAGTTTCTCGGAAAGCCTCTGTCTGGTTACTCTGTGAAGATATTTCTTTTTTCACCACAGTCTTTAAGCCACTCAAAAATATCTGTCTGCAGACACTACAAAAAGTCTGTTTTCAAACTGGCCCATATAGCATGTTTCAACTATGTGAAATGAATGCACTCATCAAAGAGAAGTTTCTCCGAATTCTTCTGTCTAGTTTTTATCTCAAGATAATTCCTATTTTGCCATAGGAATCAATGGGCTCACAAATATCCCTTTGCAGATTCTACAAAAGTTCTGTTTCCAAACTGCTCAATCAAAAGAAACGTTCAACATTGTGAGATGAATGCACACATCACAAAGAAGTTTCTCGGAATGCTTCTGTCTAGATTTTATGTGAAGATATTTCCATTTTCACCTTAGGCCACAAAGCGCTCCAAACATCCCTTTGCAGATGATACGAAAAGACTGTTTCCAAACTGCTCAATCAAAAGAAATTTTCAACTCTGTGAGATGAAAGCACTCATCACAAAAAAGTTTCTCAGAAATCTCCTGTCTAGTTTTTATGTGAAGATATTTCCTTTTTCACCATAGGCCTTAAACTGCTCACAAATATCCTTCTGCAGATACTAAAAAAATACTGTTTCCAAACTGCTCCATCAAAAGAAAAGTTCACCTCTCTGAGATGAATGCACACATCACAAAGAAGTTTCTCAGAATTCTTCTGTCTAGTTTAAATGTGAAGATATTTCTTTTTCACATAGACCTCAAATGGCTCAGAAATACACCTTTGCAGAATGCAGGAAAAGACTGTTTCTAAACTGCTCAAACAAAATAAAGTTTCAACACTGTGAGATGAATGCACACATCACAAAGAAGTTTCTCAGAAATCTCCTGTCTAGTTTCTATGTGAAGATATTTACTATTTCACTATAGGCTTCAAAGGTCTCAAAAATATCCCTTTGCAGATTCTACAAAAATACGGTTTCCACAGTGCTGAATTAAAAGAAACCTTCAACTCTGTCAGATGAATGGAGACATCACAAAGAAGTTACTCAGTATTCTTCGGTCTACTTTTCATGTGAAGATATTTCCAGTTTCACCGTAGGCCTCAAAGGGCTAAGAAATATCCCTTTCCAGATTCTAAAAGACGACCGTTTCCATACTTCTCAATCAAAAGAAAGGTTAAATTCTCTGAGTTTAATGCCCACGTCAGAATGAAGTTTCTCAGAATTCTTCTGTTTAGTTTTTATGTGAAGATATTTCCTTTGTCACCATTGGCCTCGAAGCACTCCTAATATCCATTTACAGATTTCACAAAAAGAGTGTTTCCAAACAGCTCAATCAAAAGAAAGTGTTTAACTCTGTGAGGTGAAAGCACACATCTCCAAGAAGTTTCTCAGAAAGCTTCTGTCTAGTTTATATGTGAAGAAAATTCCTACTTCACCATAGGCAATAAAGGGCTCACAAATATTTTTTGCAGATTCTACAAAAAGACCGTATCCAAACTGCTCAATAAAAAGAAAGTTTCAACTCTGTTAGATTAATGGACACATAAAAGAGTAGTTTCTCAGAAAACTTCTGTCTAGTTTTTATGTGAAGATATTTCACATTTCTCCATAGTACTCAATGGACTCAGAAATATCCCTTTGCAGATTCTACAAAAAGACTGTTTCCAAACTGCTCAATCCAAAGAAAGTTTCAACTCTGTGAGATTAATGCACACATCACAAAGAAGTTTCTCAGAATGCTTCTGTTTAGTTTTTACGTGAAGATGTTTCGTTTTTCAACATGGGCCTCAAAAGCTCTCCAATTATCCATTTGCAGATTCTAGAAAAAGAGGGTTTCCAAACTCCTCAATCAAAAGAAAGTTTCAATTCTGTGAGATGAAAGCACACATCACAACGAAGTTTCTTAGAAAGCTTCCGTCTAGATTTTGTGGGAAGATGTTTCTCTTTCACCAGAAGCCTCAAACGGATCAGAATTCTCCCTTTGCAGATTGTACAATAAGCCTCTTTCCAATCTGCTCATTCAAAAGAAAGTTTCAACTCTGTCAGGTGAATGCACACATCACAAGGGAGTTTCTCAGAAAGCTCCTGTCTAGTTTTTATGTGAATATATTTCGTATTTCACCACAGGCCATAAGGGGCTCACAAATATCCCTTTGCAGGTTCTACAAAAAGACTGTTTCCAAACTGCTCAATCAAAAGAAAGGTTCAACTCTGTGACGTGAATGGACACATCACAAAAAATTTCTCGGAATGATTCTGTCTAGTTTTTATGTGAAGATACTTCCTTTTTCACCATGGGCCTCAAATAGCTCCAAATATCCATTTGCAGATTCTACAAAAAGACTTTCCAAACTGCTCAATCAAAAGAAAGGTTCAACACTGTGAGACGAAAGCAAACATCACAAAGAAGTTTCTCAGAAATCTTCTGTCTACTTTTTATGTGAGGCTATTTCTTGTTCACCATAGGCCTCAAGCAGCTAAGAAATTTCCCTCTGCAGGTTCTACAAAAGACTGGTGCCAAACTGCTCAACTGAAAGGAAGGTTGAATTCTGTGACATGAATTCACACATCACAAAGAGGTTTTTCAGAAATCTTCTGTCTAGTTTTTATGTGAAGATATTTCATATTTCAACATAGGCCATAAAGGGCTCACAAATATCCCTTTGCAGATTCTAAGAAAAGACATTTCCCAAACTCCTTGATCAAAAGAAAGGTTTATCTCTGTGAGATGAATGGACACATCACAAGGAAGTTTCTTAGAAAGCTACTGTGTCGTTTTTATGTGAAGACGTTTCCTTTTTCACTCTAGGCCTTAAAACTCTCTAAATATACATTCACAGATTCTACAAAAAGACTGATTCCAAACTGCTCAATCAGAAGAAAGGTTCAACTCCGTGTGACAAACGGTGCACATCACAAAGAAATTTGTCAGAAAGCTTCTGTCTAGTTTTCATGTGAAGATATTTATTTTTCACCATTGGCCCCAAACGACTCAGAAATATCCCTTTGCAGTTTGTAGGAAAAGACTGTTTCCAAACTGCTCAATGAAAAGAAATGGTCAACTATTAGAGATGAATGGAAATGTCACAAAGAGTTTCCTCAAAAAGCTTCTGTCTACTTTTTATGTGAAGGTGTTTCCTTTTGCACCATAGGCCTTAAATCGCTCACAAATATAACTCCACTTGTACTACCAAGAGACTTTCTCCAAATTGCTAAATCCAAAGAAAGGTTCAACTCTGTGAGAAGAATGCACACATCACAAAGAAGTTTCTCAAAATGCTTCTGTCTAGTTTTTATGTGAAGATATTTCCTTTTTCACCATAGGTCTCAAATTGTTCCAAATATCCATTTGCAGATTCTACAAAAAGAATGTTTCCAAACTGGTCAATCAAAAGAAAGGCTCAAATCTGTGAGACAAAAACACACATTACAAAGTTTCTCAGAAAGCTTCTGTCTAGTTTCAATGTGAAGATATTTCTTTTTCACCATAGACCTCAAATGGCTCAGAAATATACCTTTGCAGATTGCAGTAAAAGACTGTTTCTAAACTGCTCAAACAAAATAAAGTTTCAACACTGTGTGATGAATGCACACATCACAAAGAAGTTTCTCAGAAAGCTTCTGTCTAGTTTTTATCTCAAGATTATTCCTATTTTGCCATAGGAATCAAGGGGCTCACAAATATCCCTTTGCGGATTCTACAAAAGTTCTGTTTACAAACCTCTCAATCAAAAGAAACCTTCAACATTGTGAGATGAATGAACACATCACAAAGAAGTTTCTCAGAATGCTTCTGTCTAGATTTTATGTGAAGATATTTCCATTTTCACCTTAGGCCACAGAGCGCTCCACACATCCCTTTGCAGATGATACGAAAAGACTGTTTCCAAACTGCTCAATCAAAAGAAATTTTCAACTCTGTGAGATGAAAGCAACCATCACAAAAAAGTTTCTCAGAAATCTTCTGTCTAGTTTTTATGTGAAGATATTTCCTTTTTCACCATAGTCCTTACACCGCTCACAAATATCCTTCTGCAGATACTAGAAAAAGACTGTTTCCAAACTGCTCCATCAAAAGAAAATTTCGCCTACCTGAGATGAATGCACACATCATAAAGAAGTTTCTCAGAATTCTTCTGTCTAGTTAAAATGTGAAGATATCTCTTTTTCACCATAGACCTCAAATGTCTCAGAAATATACCTTTGCAGATTGCAGAAAAAGACTGTTTCTGAACTGCTCAAACAAAATAAAGTTTCAACACTGTGAGATGAATGCACCACATCACAAAGAAGTTTCTCAGAAAGCTCCTGTCTAGTTTTTATGTGAAGATATTTACTATTTCACTATAGGCTTCAAATGTCTCAAAAATATCCCTTTGCAGATTCTACAAAAATATGGTTTCCAAAGTGCTGAATTAAAAGAAACTTTCAACTCTGTCAGATGAATGGAGACCTCACAAAGAAGTTCCTCAGAATGCTTCGGTCTACTTTTCATGTGAAGATATTTCCAGTTTCACCATATGCCTCAAAGGGCTAAGAAATATCCCTTTCCAGATTCTAAAAGACGACCGTTTCCATATTTCTCAATCAAAAGAAAGTTAAATTCTCTGAGGTTAATGCCCACGTCAGAATGAAAGTTTTCAGAATTCTTCTGTTTAGTTTTTACGTGAAGATATTTCCTTTGTCACAATTGGCCTCAAAGCCCTCCTAATATCCATTTACAGATTTCACAAAAAGAGTGTTTCCAAACAGCTCAATCAAAAGAAAGTGTTTAACTCTGTGAGGTGAAAGCACACATCTCAAAGAAGTTTCTCAGAAAGCTTCTGTCTAGTTTATATGTGAAGAAAATTCCTACTTCACCATAGGCAATAAAGGGCTCACAAATATTTTTTGCAGATTCTACAAAAAGACCGTATCCAAACTGCTCAATAAAAAGAAAGTTTCAACTCTGTTAGATTAATGGACACATCAAAGAGTAGTTTCTCAGGAAACTTCTGTCTAGTTTTTATGTGAAGATACTTCACAGTGCATCATAGTGCTCAATGGGCTCAGAAATATCCCTTGGCAGATTCTACAAAAGGACTGTTTCAAAACTGCTCAATCCAAAGAAAGTTTCAACTATGTGAGATGAATGCACACATCACAAAGAAGTTCCTCAGAATGCTTCTGTTTAGTTTTTACGTGAAGATATTTCGTTTTTCACCACGGGCCTCAAAAGCTCTCCAAATATCCATTTGCATATTCTAGAAAAAGAGTGTTTCCAAACTCCTCAATCAAAGGATAGTTTCAATTCTGTGAGACGAAAGCACACATCACAACGAAGTTTCTTAGAAAGCGTTCCGTCTAGTTTTTATGGGAAGTATGTTTCTCTTTCACCATTAGCCTCAAACGGATCAGAATTCTCCCTTTGCAGATTGTACAATAAGCCTCTTTCCAATCTGCTCAATCAAAAGAAAGTTTCAACTCTGTGAGGTGAATGCACACATCACAAGGGAGTTTCTCAGAAAGCTCCTGTCTAGTTTTTATGTGAAGATATTTCATATTTCACCACAGGCCATAAGGGGCTCACAAATATCTGTTTGCAGGTTCTACACAAAGACTGTTTCTAAACTGCTCAATCAAAGGAAAGGTTCAACTCTGTGACGTGAATGGACACATCACAAAAAATTTCTCGGAATGATTCTGTCTAGTTTTTATGTGAAGATACTTCCTTTATCACCAAGGGCCTCAAATATCTCCAAATATCCATTTGCAGATTCTACAGAAAGACTTCCCAAACTGCTCAATCAAAAGAAAGGTTCAACACAGTGAGATGAAGGCACACATCACAAAGAAGTTTCTCAGAAATCTTCTGTCTAGTTTTTATGTGAAGATATTTCTTTTTCACTATAGGCCTCAAACGGCTAAGAAATTTCCCTTTGCAGCTTCTACAAAAGACTGTTTCCAAACTGCTCAATCGAAAGAAAGGTTGAATTCTGTGACATGAATTCACACATCACAAAGAAGTTTTTCAGAAATCTTCTGTCTAGTTTTTATGTGAAGATATTTCATATTTCAACATAGGCCATAAAGGGCTCACAAATATCCCTTTGCAGATTCTAAGAGAAGACATTTTCCAAACTCCTCAATCAAAAGAAAGGTTTAACTCTGTGAGATGAATGGACACATCACAAAGAAGTTTCTTAGAAAGCTACTGTGTCGTTTTTATGTGAAGACGTTTCCTTTTTCACTCTAGGCCTTAAAACTCTCTAAATATACATTCACAGATTCTACAAAAAGACGGATTCCAAACTGCTCAATCAGAAGAAAGGTTCAATTCCGTGTGACAAACGTGCACATCACAAAGAAATTTGTCAGAAAGCTTCTGTCTAGTTTTCATGTGAAGATATTTATTTTTCACCATTGACCCCAAACGGCTCAGAAATATCCCTTTGCAGTTTGTAGGAAAAGACTGTTTCCAAACTGCTCAATGAAAAGAAATGGTCAACTATTAGAGATGAATGGAAATGTCACAAAGAGTTTTCTCAAAAAGCTTCTGTCTACATTTTATGTGAAGGTATTTCCTTTGGCACCGTAGGCCTTAAACCACTCACAAACATAACTCTGCTTATACTACCAAGAGACTTTCTCCAAATTGCAAAATCAAAAGAAACGTTCAACTCTGTGAGATGAATACACACATCAAAAAGAAGTTTCTCAAAATGCTTCTGTCTAGTTTTTATGTGAAGATATTTCCTTCTTCACCATAGGCCGCAAATTGCTCCAAATATCCATTTGCGGATTCTACAGAAATAATGTTTCCAAACTGGTCAATCAACAGAAAGGCTCAACTCTGTGAGACGAAAGCACACATCACAAAGAAGTTTCTCAGAAAGCTTCTGTCTGGTTATTCTGTTAAGATATTTCTTTTTTCACCACAGTCTTTAAGCCACTCAAAAATATCTGTCTGCAGACACTACAAAAAGACTGTTTCCAAACTGGCCCATATAGCATGTTTCAACTATGTGAAATGAATGCACTCATCAAAGAGAAGTTTCTAAGAATTCTCCTGTCTAGTTTTTATCTCAAGATAATTACTATTTTGCCATAGGAATCAAGGGGCTCACAAATATCCCTTTGCAGATTCTACAAAAGTTCTGTTTACAAACCTCTCAATCAAAAGAAACGTTCAACATTGTGAGATGAATGAACACATCACAAAGAAGTTTCTCAGAATGCTTCTGTCTAGATTTTATGTGAAGATATTTGCATTTTCACCTCAGGCCACAAAGCGCTCCAAACATCCCTTTGCAGATGATACGAAAAGACTGTTTCCAAACTGCTCAATCAAAAGAAATTTTCAACTCTGTGAGATGAAAGCACACATCACAGAAAAGTTTCTCAGAAATCTTCTGTCTAGTTATTATGTGAAGATATTTCCTTTTTCACCATAGTCTTTAAACCGCTCAAAAATATCCCTCTGCAGATACTATAAAAAGACTGTTTCCAAACTGGTCCATCAAAGAATGTTTCAACTCTGTGAGATGAATAGACTCATCACAAAGAAGTTTCTCAGAATTCTTCTGTCTAGTTTAAATGTGAAGATATTTCTCTTTCACCACAGACCTCAAATGGCTCAGAAATATGCCTTTGCAGATTGCAGAAAAAGACTGTCTCTAAACTGCTCAAATAAAATAAAGTTTCAACACTGTGAGATGAATGCACACATCACAAAGAAGTTTCTCAGAGAGCTCCTGTCTAGTTTTTATGTGACAATATTTACTATGTCACTATAAGCTTCAAATGTCTCAAAAATATCCCTTTGCAGATTCTACAAAAATATGGTTTCAAAAGTGTGAATTAAAAGAAACCTTCAACTCTGTCAGATGAATGAAGACATCACAAAGAAGTTCCTCAGAATGCTTTGGTCTAGTTTTCATGTAAAGATATTTCCAGTTTCACCGTAGGCCTCAAAGGGCTAAGAAATATCCCTTTCCAGATTCTAAAAGACAACCATTTCCATACTGCTCAATCAAAAGAAAGCTTAAATTCTGTGAGGTGAATGCACACATCAGAATGAAGTTTCTCAGAATTCTTCTCTTTAGTTTTTATGAGAAGATATTTCCTTTGCCACCATTGGCCTCAAAGCACTCCTAATATCCATTTACAGATTTCACGAAAAGAGTGTTTCCAAACAGCTCAATCAAAAGAAAGTGTTTAACTCTGTGAGGTGAAAGCACACATCTCAATGAAGTTTCTCAGAAAGCTTCTGTCCAGTTTATATGTGAAGAAGATTCCTATTTCACCATAGGCAATAAAGGGCTCGCAAATATTTTTTGCAGATTCTACAGAAAGACTGTATCCAAACTGCTCAATAAAAAGAAAGTTTTAACTCTGTTTGATTAATGGACACATCGAAAAGTAGTTTCTCAGAAAACTTCTGTCTAGTTTTTATGTGAAGATATTTCACATTGCACCATAGTACTCAATGGGCTCAGAAATATCCCTTTGCAGATTCTACAAGAGGACTGTTTCCAAACTGCTCAATCCAAAGACAGTTTCAACTATGTGAGATGAATGCATACATCACAAAGAAGTTTCTCAGACTGCTTCTGTTTCGTTTTTACGTGAAGATGTTTCGTTTTTCAACATGGGCCTCAAAAGCTCTCCAAATATCCATTTGCAGATTCTAGAAAAAGAGTGTTTCCAAACTCCTCAATCAAAAGAAAGTTTCAATTCTGTGAGATGAAAGCACACATCACACCGAAGTTTCTTAGAAAGCTTCCGTCTAGTTTTTATGGGAAGATGTTTCTCTTTCACCAGAAGCCTCAAAAGGATCAGAATTCTCCCTTTGCAGATTGTACAATAAGCCTCTTTCCAATCTGCTCAATCAAAAGAAAGTTTCAACTCTGTGAGGTGAATGCACACATCACAAGGGAGTTTCTCAGAAAGCTCCTGTCTAGTTTTTATGTGAAGATATTTCGTATTTCACCACAGGCCATAAGGGGCTCACAAATATCCCTTTGCAGGTTCCACAAAAAGTCTGTTGCCAAACTGCTCAATCAAAAGAAAGGTTCAACTCTGTGACGTGAATGGACACATCACAAACAATTTCTTGGAATGATTCTGTCAGGTTTTTATGTGCAGATATTTCGTTTTCACCATAAGCCTCAAATGGCTCAGAAATATCCCTTTGCAGCTTGTACAAAAAGACTGTTTCCAAGCTGCTCAATCAAAAGAAAGATTCAACTCTGTGAAATGAAAGCACACATCACAAAGAAGTTTCTCAAAATACTTCTGTCTACTTTTTATGTGAGGCTATTTCTTGTTCACCATAGGCCTCGAGCAGCTAAGAAATTTCCCTCTGCAGCTTCTACAAAAGACTGGTTCCAAACTGCTCAACTGAAAGGAAGGTTGAATTCTGTGACATGAATTCACACATCACAGAGAGGTTTTTCAGAAATCTTCTGTCTACTTTTTATGTGAAGATATTTCATATTTCAACAAAGGCCATAAAGGGCTCACAAATATCCCTTTGCAGATTCTAAGGAAAGACATTTTCCAAACTCCTCAATCATAAGAAAGGTTTCACTCTGTGCGATGAATGGACACATCACAAAGAAGTTTCTCAGAAAGCTACTGTGTCGTTTTTATGTGAAGACATTGCCTTTTGCACCCTAGGCCTTAAAACTCTCTAAATACACATTCACAGATTCTACAAAAAGACTGATTCCAAACTGCTCAATCAGAAGAAGGGTTCAATTCCGTGTGACAAACGTGCACATCACCAAGAAATTTGTCAGAAAGCTTCTGTCTAGTTTTCATGGGAAGATATTTATTTTTCACCATTGGCCCCAAACGGCTCAGAAATATCCCTTTGCAGTTTGTAGGAAAAGACTGTTTCCAAACTGCTCAATGAAAAGAAATGGTCAACTATTAGAGATGAATGGAAATGTCACAAAGAGTTTTCACATAAAGCTTCTGTCTACATTTCATGTGAAAGTATTTCCTTTTGCACCATAGGCCTTAAACCGCTCACAAATATAACTCCACTTATACTACCAAGAGACTTTCTCCAAATTGCTAAATCAAAAGAAAGTTTCAACTCTTTGAGAAGAATGCACACATCACAAAGAAGTTTCTCAAAATGCTTCTGTCTAGTTTTTATGTGAAGATATTTCCTTCTTCACCGTAGGCCGCAAATTGTTCCAAATATCCATTTGCGGATTCTACAGAAAGAATGTTTCCAAACTGGTCAATCAACAGAAAGGCTCAACTCTGTGAGACGAAAGCACACATCACAAAGAAGTTTCTCAGAAAGCTTCTGTCTGGTTACTCTGTGAAGATATTTCTTTTTTCACCACAGTCTTTAAGCCACTCAAAAATATCTGTCTGCAGACACTACAAAAAGACTGTTTCCAAAATGGCCCATATAGCATGTTTCAACAATGTGAAATGAATGCACTCATCAAAGAGAAGTTTCTCAGAATTCTTCTGTCTAGTTTTTATCTAAAGAGAATTCCTATTTTGCCATAGGAATCAAGGGGCTCACAAATATCCCTTTGCAGATTCTACAAAAGTTCTGTTTACAAACCTCTCAATCAAAAGAAACGTTCAACATTGTGAGGTGAATGAACACATCACAAAGAAGTTTCTCAGAATGCTTCTGTCTAGAATTTTATGTGAGGATATTTCCATTTTCACCTTAGGCCACAAAGCGCTCCAAACATCCCTTTGCAGATGATACGAAAAGACTGTTTCCAAACTGCTCAATCAAAAGAAATTTTCAACTCTGTGAGATGAAAGCACCCATCACAAAAAAGTTTCTCAGATATCTTCTGTCTAGTTTTTATGTGAAGATATTTCCTTTTTCACCATAGTCCTTACACCGCTCACAAATATCCTTCTGCAGATACTAGAAAAAGACTGTTTCCAAACTGCTCCCTCAAAAGAAAATTTCACCTACCTGAGCTGAATGCACACATCTTAAAAAAGTTTCTCAGAATTCTTCTGTCTAGTTTAAATGTGAAGATAATCCTTTTTCACCACAGACCTCAAATGGCTCAGAAATATACCTTTGCAGATTGTAGAAAGAGACTGTCTCTAAACTGCTCAAATAAAATAAAGTTTCAACACTGTGAGATGAATGCACACATCACAAAGAAGTTTCTCAGAAAGCTCCTGTCTAGTTTCTATGTGAAGATATTTACTATTTCACTATAGGCTTCAAAGGTCTCAAAAATATCCCTTTGCAGATTCTACAAAAATATGCTTTCCAAAGTGCTGAATTAAAAGAAACCTTCAAATCTGTCAGATGAATAGAGACATCACAAAGAAGTTCCTCGGAATGCTTCGGTCTACTTTTCATGTGAAGATATTTCCAGTTTCACCGTAGGCCTCAAAGGGCTAAGAAATATCCCATTCCAGATTTTAAAAGACGACCGTTTCCATACTTCTCAATCAAAAGAAAGGTTAAATTCTCTGAGGTTAATGCCCACGTCAGAATGAAGTTTCTCAGAATTCTTCTGTTTAGTTTTTATGTGAAGATATTTCCTTTGTCACCATTGGCCTCAAAGCACTCCTAATATCCATTTACAGATTTCACAAAAAGAGTGTTTCCAAACAGCTCAATCAAAAGAAAGTGTTTAACTCAGTGAGGTGAAAACACACATCTCAAAGGAGTTTCTCAGAAAGCTTCTGTCCAGTTTATATGTGAAGAAGATTCCTATTTCACCATAGGCAATAAAGGGCTCGCAAATATTTTTTGCAGATTCTAAAGAAAGACTGTATCCAAACTGCTCAATAAAAAGAAAGTTTTAACTCTGTTTGATTAATGGACACATCGAAAAGTAGTTTCTCAGAAAACTTCTGTCTAGTTTTTATGTGAAGATACTTCACAGTGCATCATAGTACTCAATGGGCTCAGAAATATCCCTTGGCAGATTCTACAAAAAGACTGTTTCAAAACTGCTCAATCCAAAGAAAGTTTCAACTATGTGAGATGAATGCACACATCACAAAGAAGTTCCTCAGAATGCTTCTGTTTAGTTTTTACGTGAAGATGTTTCGTTTTTCAACATGGGCCTCAGGAGCTCTCCAAATATCCATTTGCAGATTCTAGAAAAAGAGTGTTTCCAAACTCCTCAATCAAAAGAAAGTTTCAATTCCGTGAGATGAAAACACACATCACACCGAAGTTTCTTAGAAAGCTTCCGTCTAGTTTTTATGGGAAGATGTTTCTCTTTCACCATTAGCCTCAAACGGATCAGAATTCTCCCTTTGCAGATTGTACGATAAGTCTCTTTCCAATCTGCTCAATCAAAAGAAAGTTTCCACTCGGTGAGGTGAATACACACATCGCAAGGGAGTTTCTCAGAAAGCTCCTGTCTAGTTTTTATGTGAAGATATTTCGTATTTCACCACAGGCCATAAGGGGCTCACAAATATCCCTTTGCAGGTTCTACAAAAAGACTGTTTCCAAACTGCTCAATCAAAAGAAAGGTTCAACTCTGTGACGTGAATGGACACATCGCAGGAAATTTCTTGGAATGATTCTGTCTAGTTTTTATGTGAAGATACTTCCTTTTTCACCAAGGGCCTCAAATATCTCCAAATATCCATTTGCAGATTCTACAGAAAGACTTCCCAAACTGCTCAATCAAAAGAAAGTTTCAACACAGTGAGTTGAAGGCACACATCACAAAGAAGTTTCTCAGAAATCTTCTGTCTAGTTTTTATGTGAGGCTATTTCTTGTTCACCATAGGCCTCAAGCAGCTAAGAAATTTCCCTCTGCAGCTTCTACAAAAGACTGGTTCCAAACTGCTCAACTGAAAGGAAGGTTGAATTCTGTGACATGAATTCACACATCACAAAGAGGTTTTTCAGAAATCTTTCTCTCTACTTTTTACGTGAAGATATTTCATATTTCAACAAAGGCCATAAAGGGCTCACAAATATCCCTTTGCAGATTCTAAGAAAAGACATTTTTCAAACTCCTAAATCAAAAGACAGGTTTCACTCTGTGCGATGAAGGGACACATCACAAAGAAGTTTCTCAGAAAGCTACTGTGTAGTTTTTATGTGAAGATATTTCCTTTTTCACTATAGGCCTTAAAACACTCCAAATATACATTTGCAGATTCTACAAAAAGACTGTTTCCAAACTGCTCAATCAAATGAAAGGTTCAACTCTGTGATACAAACGTGCACACCACAAAGGAGTTTCTCAGAAAGCTTCTGCCTAGTTTTCATGTGAAGATATTTATTTTTCACCATTGGCCCCAAACGGCTCAGAAATATCCCTTTGCAGTTTGTAGGAAAAGACTGTTTCCAAACTGCTCAATGAGAAGAAATGGTCAACTATTAGAGATGAATGGAAATGTCACAAGGAGTTCTCTCAAAATGCTTCTGTCTACATTTTATGTGAAGGTATTTCCTTTGGCACCGTAGGCCTTAAACCACTCACAAACATAACTCCGCTTATACTACCAAGAGACTTTCTCCAAATCGCTAAATCAAAAGAAACGTTCAACTCTGTGAGATGAATACACACATCAAAAAGAAGTTTCTCAAAATGCTTCTGTCTAGTTTTTATGTGAAGATATTTCCTTCTTCACCGTAGGCCGCAAATTGCTCCAAATATCCATTTGCGGATTCTACAGAAAGAATGTTTCCAAACTGGTCAATCAACAGAAAGGCTCAACTCTCTGAGACGAAAGCACACATCATAAAGAAGTTTCTCAGAAAGCTTCTGTCTGGTTACTCTGTGAAGATATTTCTTTTTTCACCACAGTCTTTAAGCCACTCAAAAATATCTGTCTGCAGACCCTACAAAAAGACTGTTTCCAAACTGGCCCATATAGCATGTTTCAACTATGTGAAATGAATGCACTCATCAAAGAGAAGTTTCTCAGAATTCTCCTGTCTAGTTTTTATGACAAGATAATTCCTATTTTGCCATAGGAATCAAGGGGCTCACAAATATCCCTTTGCAGATTCTACAAAAGTTGTGTTTACAAACCTCTCAATCAAAAGAAACGTTCAACATTGTGAGATGAATGAACACATCACAAAGAAGTTTCTCAGAATGCTTCTGTCTAGATTTTATGTGAAGATATTTCCATTTTCACGTTAGGCCACAAAGCGCTCCACACATCCCTTTGCAGATGATACGAAAAGACTGTTTCCAAACTGCTCAATCAAAAGAAATTTTCAACTCTGTGAGATGAAAGCACCCATCACAAAAAAGTTTCTCAGAAATCTTCTGTCTAGTTTTTATGTGAAGATATTTCCTTTTTCAGCGTAGTCCTTACACCGCTCACAAATATCCTTCTGCAGATACTAGAAAAAGACTGTTTCCAAACTGCTCCATCAAAAGAAAATTTCACCTACCTGAGATGAATGCACACATCATAAAGAAGTTTCTCAGAATTCTTCTGTCTAGTTTAAATGTGAAGATATTCCTTTTTCACCACAGACCTCAAATGGCTCAGAAATATACCTTTGCAGATTGCAGAAAAAGTCTGTCTCTAAACTGCTCAAATAAAATAAAGTTTCAACACTGTGAGATGAATGCACACATCACAAAGAAGTTTGCTCAGAAAGCT
>NC_000022.11:13109544-13163677 GCF_000001405.40 Homo sapiens | reverse complement strand
TCTGTGTAGTTTTTCTGTGAAGATACTTCCTTTGTCACCATTGGCCTCAAAGCACTCCTAATATCCATTTACAGATGTCACAGAAAGAGTGTTTCCAAACTGCTCCATCAAAAGAAAGTGTTTAACTCTGTGAGGTGAAAGCACACATCTCAAAGAAGTTTCTCCGAAAGCTTCGGTCTAGTTTTCATGTGATGATATTTCCAGTCTCACCATAGGCCTCAAAGGGCTAAGAAATATCCCTTTCCAGATTCTAAAAGACCACCATTTCCATACTTCTCAATCAAAAGAAAGGTTACATTCTGTGAGGTTAATGCACACATCAGAATGAAGTTTCTCAGAATTCTCCTGTCTAGTTTTCACGTGAAGATATTTACTATTTCACTATAGGCTTCAAATGTCTCAAAAATATCCCTTTGCAGATTCTACAAAAATATGCTTTCCAAAGTGCTGAATTAAAAGAAACCTTCAACTCTGTCAGATGAATGGAGACATCACGAAGAAGTTCCTCAGAATGCTTCTGTCTAGTTTAAATGTGAAGATATTTCTTTTTCACCATAGACCTCAAAGGGCTCAGAATTAGACCTTTGCAGATTGCAGAGAAAGACTGTCTCTAAACTGCTCAAATAAAATAAAGTTTCAACACGGTGAGATGAATGTACACATCACAAAGAAGTTCCTCAGAAAGCTTCTGTCTGGTTTTTATGTGAAGATATTTCCTTTTTCACCATAGGTCTTACACCGCTCACGAATATCCTTCTGCAGATACTATAAAAAGACGGTTTCCAAACTGCTCCATCAAAAGAAAATTTCACCTATCTGAGATGAATGCACACATCATACAGAAGTTCCTCAGAATTCTTCTGTCTAGTTTTTATGTGAAGGTGTTTCCATTTTCACATTAGGCCACAAAGCGCCCCAAACATCCATTTGCAGATGATACGAAAAGACTGTTTCCACACTGCTCAATCAAAAGAAATTTTCAACTCTGTGAGATGAAAGCACACATCACAAAAAAGTTTCTCAGAAATCTTCTGTCTCGCTTTTATCTCAAGATAATTCCTATTTTGCCATAGGAATCAAGGGGCTCACATATACCCCTTTGCAGATTCTACAAATGTTCTCCTTACAAACTTCTCAATCAAAAGAAACGTTCAACATTGTGAGATGAATGAACACATCCCAAAGACGTTTCTCAGGTTGCTTCTGTCTGGTTGCTATGTGAAGATGTTTCCTTTTTCACCATGGTCTTTAAGCCACTCAAACATACCTGTCTGCAGACTCTACAAAAAGACTGTTTCCAAACTGGCCCATATAGCATGTTTCAACTATGTGAAATGAATGCACTCATCAAAAAGAAGTTTCTCAGGATTCTCCTGTCTAGTTTTTATGTGAAGATATTTCCTTTTTCACCGTAGGCCACAAATTGCTCCAAATATCCATTTGCAGATTCTACAAAAAGAATGTTCCCAAACTGGTCAATCAAAAGAAAGGCGCAACTCTGTGAGACGAAAGCACACATCACAAAGAAGTTTCTCGGAAAGCCTCTGTCTGCATTTTATGTGAAGGTATTTCCTTTGGCACCATAGACCTTAAACCGCTCGCAAATATAACTCCACTTATACTACCAAGAGACTTTCTCCAAATTGCTAAATCAAAAGAAAGGTTCAACTCTTTGAGATGAATACACACATCAAAAAGAAGTTTCTCAAAATGCTTCTGTCTAGTTTTCATGGGAAGACATTTATTTTTCACCGATGGCCCAAAACCGCTCAGAAATATCCCTTTGCAGTTTGTAGAAAAAGACTGCTTCCAAACTGCTCAATGAAAGGAAATGGTCAACTATTAGAGATGAATGGAAATGTCGCAAAGAGTTTTCTCAAAAAGCTACTGTGTCGTTTTTATGTGAAGACATTGCCTCTTGCACCCTAGGCCTTAAAACTCTCTAAATACACATTCACAGATTCTACAAAAAGACTGATTCCAAACTGCTCAATCAGAAGAAGGGTTCAATTCCGTGTGACAAACGTGCACATCACCAAGAAATTTGTCAGAAAGCCTCTGTCTACTTTTTATGTGAAGATATTTCATATTTCAACAAAGGCCATAAAGGGCTCACAAATATCCCTTCGCAGATTCTAAGAAAAGACGTTTTCCAAACTCCTCAATCAAAAGAAAGGTTTAACTCTGTGTGATGAATGGACACATCATGAAGAAGTTTCTCAGAAAGCTTCTGTCTAGTTTTTCTGTGAAGATATTTCTTTTTCACCATAGGCCTCAAGCAGCTAAGAAATTTCCCTCTGCAGCTTCTACCAAAGACTGTTTCCAAACTGCTCAAGTGAAAGAAAGGTTGAATTCTGTGACATGAATTCACACATCACAAAGAGGTTTTTCAGAAATCTCCTGTCTGGTTTTTAGGTGAAGATACTTCCTTTTTCAAAACGGGCCTCAAATATCTCCAAATATCCATTTGCAGATTCTACAGAAAGACTTTCCAAACTGCTCAATCAAAAGAAAGGTTCAACACTGTGAGATGAAGGCACACATCACCAAGAAGTTTCTCAGAAACCTTCTGTCTAGTTTTTAGGTGAAGATACTTCGTATTTCACCACAGGCCATAAAGGGCTCACAAATATCCCTTTGCAGGTTCTACAAAAAGACTGTTTCCAAACTGCCCAATCAAAGGAGAGGTTCAACTCTGTGACGTGAATGGACACATCACAAAAAATTTCTTGGAATGCTTCCGTCTAGTTTTTATGGGAAGATATTTCTCTTTCACCATAAGCCTCAAACGGATCAGAATTCTCCCTTTGCAGATTGTACGATAAGCCTCTTTCCAATCTGCTCAATCAAAAGAAAGTTTCCACTCGGTGAGGTGAATGCACACAACGCAAGGGAGTTTCTCAGAAAGCTTCTGTTTAGTTTTTACGTGAAGATATTTCGTTTTTCACCACGGGCCTCAAAAGCTCTCCAAATATCCATTTGCATATTCTAGAAAAAGAGTGTTTCCAAACTCCTCAATCAAAGGATAGTTTCAATTCTGTGAGACGAAAGCACACATCACAACGAAGTTTCTTAGAAAGCGTCTGTGTAGTTTTTATGTGAAGATACTTCACATTGCATCACAGTACTCAATGGTCTCAGAAATATCCCCTTGCAGATCCTACAAAAGGACTGTTTCAAAACTGCTCAATCCAAAGAAAGTTTCAACTATGTGAGATGAATGCGCACGTCACGAAGATGTTCCTCAGAATGCTTCTGTCTTGTTTACATGTGAAGAAGATTCCTATTTCACCATAGGCAATAAAGGGCTCACAAATATTTTTTGCAGATTCTCCAAAAAGACTGTATCCAAACTGCTCAATAAAAAGAAAGTTTTAACTCTGTTACATTAATGGACACATCAACAAGTAGTTTCTCAGAAAACTTCTGTGTAGTTTTTATGTGAAGATATTTCCTTTGTCACCATTGGCCTCAAAGCACTCCTAATATCCATTTACAGATGTCACAGAAAGAGTGTTTCCAAACTGCTCAATCAAAAGAAAGTGTTTAACTCTGTGAGGTGAAAGCACACATCTCAAAGAAGTTTCTCCGAAAGCTTCGGTCTAGTTTTCATGTGATGATATTTCCAGTCTCACCATAGGCCTCAAAGGGCTAAGAAATATCCCTTTCCAGGTTCTAAAAGACCACCATTTCCATACTTCTCAATCAAAAGAAAGGTTAAATTCTGTGAGGTTAATGCACACATCAGAATGAAGTTTCTCAGAATTCTCCTGTCTAGTTTTCACGTGAAGATATTTACTATTTCACTATAGGCTTCAAATGTCTCAAAAATATCCCTTTGCAGATTCTACAAAAATATGCTTTCCAAAGTGCTGAATTAAAAGAAACCTTCAACTCTGTCAGATGAATGGAGACATCACGAAGAAGTTCCTCAGAATGCATCTGTCTAGTTTAAATGTGAAGACATTTCTTTTTCACCATAGACCTCAAAGGGCTCAGAGTTAGACCTTTGCAGATTGCAGAGAAAGACTGTCTCTAAACTGCTCAAATAAAATAAAGTTTCAACACGGCGAGATGAACGCACACATCACAAAGAAGTTCCTCAGAAGGCTTCTGTCTGGTTTTAATGTGAAGATATTTCCTTTTTCACCATAGGCCTTACACCGCTCACGAATATCCTTCTGCAGATACTATAAAAAGACTGTTTCCAAACTGCTCCATCAAAAGAAAATTTCACCTATCTGAGATGAATGCACACATCATACAGAAGTTCCTCAGAATTGCTTCTGTCTAGTTTTTATGTGAAGATGTTTCCATTTTCACCTTAGGCCACAAAGCGCCCCAAACATCCGTTTGCAGATGATACGAAAAGACTGTTTCCAAACTGCTCAATCAAGATTAATTTTCAACTCTGTGAGATGAAAGCACACATCACAAAAAAGTTTCTCAGAAATCTTCTGTCTCGCTTTTATCTCAAGATAATTCCTATTTTGCCATAGGAATCAAGGGGCTCACATATACCCCTTTGCAGATTCTACAAATGTTCTCCTTACAAACTTCTCAATCAAAAGAAACGTTCAACATTGTGAGATGAATGAACACATTCCAAAGACGTTTCTCAGGTTGCTTCTGTCTGGTTGCTATGTGAAGATGTTTCCTTTTTCACCATAGTCTTTAAGCCCCTCAAAAATATCTGTCTGCAGACTCTACCAAAAGACTGTTTCCAAACTGGCCCATATAGCATGTTTCAACTATGTGAAATGAATGCACTCATCAAAAAGAAGTTTCTCAGGATTCTCCTGTCTAGTTTTTATGTGAAGATATTTCCTTTTTCACCGTAGGCCACAAATTGCTCCAAATATCCATTTGCAGATTCTACAAAAAGAATGTTCCCAAACTGGTCAATCAAAGGAAAGGCGCAACTCTGTGAGACGAAAGCACACATCACAAAGAAGTTTCTCGGAAAGCCTCTGTCTGCATTTTATGTGAAGGTATTTCCTTTGGCACCATAGGCCTTAAACCGCTCGCAAATATAACTCCACTTATACTACCAAGAGACTTTCTCCAAATTGCTAAATCAAAAGAAAGGTTCAACTCTGTGAGATGAATACACACATCAAAAAGAAGTTTCTCAAAATGCTTCTGTCTAGTTTTCATGGGAAGATATTTATTTTTCACCGTTGGCCCCAAACCGCTCAGAAATATCCCTTTGCAGTTTGTAGAAAAAGACTGCTTCCAAACTGCTCAATGAAAGGAAATGGTCAACTATTAGAGATGAATGGAAATGTCACAAAGAGTTTTCTCAAAAAGCTACTGTGTCGTTTTTATGTGAAGACATTGCCTTTGGCACCCTAGGCCTTAAAACTCTCTATATACACATTCACAGATTCTACAAAAAGATTGATTCCAAACTGCTCAATCAGAAGAAGGGTTCAATTCCGTGTGACAAACGTGCACATCACCAAGGAATTTGTCAGAAAGCTTTCTGTCTACTTTTTATGTGAAGATATTTCATATTCCAACAAAGGCCATAAAGGGCTCACAAATATCCCTTCGCAGATTCTAAGAAAAGACGTTTTCCAAACTCCTCAATCAAAAGAAAGGTTTAACTCTGTGAGATGAATGGACACATCACGAAGAAGTTTCTCAGAAAGCTTCTGTCTAGTTTTTCTGTGAAGATATTTCTTTTTCACCATAGGCCTCAAGCAGCTAAGAAATTTCCCTCTGCAGCTTCTACCAAAGGCTGTTTCCAAACTGCTCAACTGAAAGAAAGGTTGAATTCTGTGACATGAATTCACACATCACAAAGAGGTTTTTCAGAAATCTTCTGTCTGGTTTTTAGGTGACGATACTTCCTTTTTCAGCACGGGACTCAAATATCTCCAAATATCCATTTGCAGATTCTACAGAGAGACTTTCCAAACTGCTCAATCAAAAGAAAGGTTCAACACTGTGAGATGAAGGCACACATCACCAAGAAGTTTCTCAGAAACCTTCTGTCTAGTTTTTAGGTGAAGATACTTCGTATTTCACCACAGGCCATAAAGGGCTCACAAATATCCCTCTGCAGGTTCTACAAAAAGACTGTTTCCAAACTGCCCAATCAAAGGAGAGGTTCAACTCTGTGACGTGAATGGACACATCACAAAAAATTTCTTGGAATGCTTCCGTCTAGTTCTTATGGGAAGATATTTCTCTTTCACCATAGGCCTCAAACGGATCAGAATTCTCCCTTTGCAGATTGTACGATAAGCCTCTTTCCAATCTGCTCAATCAAAAGAAAGTTTCCACTCGGTGAGGTGAATGCACACATCGCAAGGGAGTTTCTCAGAAAGCTTCTGTTTAGTTTTTACGTGAAGATATTTCGTTTTTCACCACGGGCCTCAAAAGCTCTCCAAATATCCATTTGCAGACACTAGAAAAAGAGTGTTTCCAAACTCCTCAATCAAAGGATAGTTTCAATTCTGTGAGACGAAAGCACACATCACAACGAAGTTTCTTAGAAAGCGTCTGTCTAGTTTTTATGTGAAGATACTTCACATTGCATCACAGTACTCAATGGGCTCAGAAATATCCCCTTGCAGATCCTACAAAAGGACTGTTTCAAAACTGCTCAATCCAAAGAAAGTTTCAACTATGTGAGATGAATGCGCACGTCACGAAGACGTTCCTCAGAATGCTTCTGTCTTGTTTACATGTGAAGAAGATTCCTCTTTCACCATAGGCAATAAAGGGCTCACAAATATTTTTGCAGATTCTACAAAAAGACTGTATCCAAACTGCTCAATAAAAAGAAAGTTTTAACTCTGTTACATCAATGGACACATCAACAAGTAGTTTCTCAGAAAACTTCTGTGTAGTTTTTATGTGAAGATACTTCCTTTGTCACCATTGGCCTCAAAGCACTCCTAATATCCATTTACAGATGTCACAGAAAGAGTGTTTCCAAACTGCTCAATCAAAAGAAAGTGTTTTACTCTGTGAGGTGAAAGCACACATCTCAAAGAAGTTTCTCCGAAAGCTTCGGTCTAGTTTTCATGCGATGATATTTCCAGTCTCACCATAGGCCTCAAAGGGCTAAGAAATATCCCTTTCCAGATTCTAAAAGACCACCATTTCCATACTTCTCAATCAAAAGAAAGGTTAAATTCGGTGAGGTTAATGCACACATCAGAATGAAGTTTCTCAGAATTCTCCTGTCTAGTTTTCATGTGAAGATATTTACTATTTCACTATAGGCTTCAAATGTCTCAAAAATATCCCTTTGCAGATTCTACAAAAATATGCTTTCCAAAGTGCTGAATTAAAAGAAACCTTGAACTCTGTCAGATGAATGGAGACATCACGAAGAAGTTCCTCAGAATGCTTCTGTCTAGTTTAAATGTGAAGACAATTCTTTTTCACCATAGACCTCAAAGGGCTCAGAGTTAGACCTTTGCAGATTGCAGAGAAAGACTGTCTCTAAACTGCTCAAATAAAATAGAGTTTCAACACGGTGAGATGAACGCACACATCACAAAGAAGTTCCTCAGAAGGCTTCTGTCTGGTTTTTATGTGAAGATATTTCCTTTTCCACCATAGGCCTTACACCGCTCACAAATATCCTTTTGCAGATACTGGAAAAAGACTGTTTCCAAACTGCTCCATCAAAAGAAAATTTCACCCATCTGAGATGAATGCACACATCATAAAGAAGTTCCTCAGAATTCTTCTGTCTAGTTTTTATGTGAAGATGTTTCCATTTTCACCTTAGGCCACAAAGCGCTCCAAACATCCGTTTGCAGATGATACGAAAAGACTGTTTCCAAACTGCTCAATCAAAAGAAATTTTCAACTCTGTGAGATGAGAGCACACATCACAAAAAAGTTTCTCAGAAATCTTCTGTCTCGCTTTTATCTCAAGATAATTCCTATTTTGCCATAGGAATCAAGGGGCTCACATATATCCCTTTGCGGATTCTACAAAAGTTCTCTTTACAAACTTCTCAATCAAAAGAAACGTTCAACATTGGGAGATGAATGAACACATCCCAAAGAAGTTTCTCAGGTTGCTTCTGTCTGGTTGCTATGTGAAGATGTTTCCTTTTTCACCATAGTCTTTAAGCCACTCAAAAATATCTGTCTGCAGACTCTACAAAAAGACTCTTTCCAAACTGGCCCATATGGCATGTTTCAACTATGTGAAACGAATGCACTCATCAAAAAGTAGTTTTTCAGGAGTCTCCTGTCTAGTTTTCATGTGAAGATATTTCCTTTTTCACCGTAGGCCACAAATTGCTCCAAATATCCATTTGCAGATTCTACAAAAAGAATGTTCCCAAACTGGTCAATCAACAGAAAGGCGCAACTCTGTGAGACGAAAGCACACATCACAAAGAAGTTTCTCGGAAATCCTCTGTCTACATTTTATGTGAAGGTATTTCCTTTGGCACCATAGGCCTTAAACCGCTCGCAAATATAACTCCACTTATACTACCAAGAGACTTTCTCCAAATTGCTAAATCAAAAGAAAGGTTCAACTCTGTGAGATGAATACACACATCAAAAAGAAGTTTCTCAAAATGCTTCCGTCTAGTTTTCATGGGAAGATATTTATTTTTCACCATTGGCCCCAAACCGCTCAGAAATATCCCTTTGCAGTTTGTAGAAAAAGACTGCTTCCAAACTGCTCAATGTAAGGAAATGGCCAACTATTAGAGATGAATGGAAATGTCACAAAGAGTTTTCTCAAAAAGCCACTGTGTCGTTTTTATGTGAAGACATTGCCTCTTGCACCCTAGGCCTTAAAACTCTCTAAATACACATTCACAGATTCTACAAAAAGACTGATTCCAAACTGCTCAATCAGAAGAAGGGTTCAATTTCCGTGTGACAAACGTGCACATCACCAAGAAATTTGTCAGAAAGCCTCTGTCTACTTTTTATGTGAAGATATTTCATATTTCAACAAAGGCCATAAAGGGCTCACAAATATCCCTTCGCAGATTCTAAGAAAAGACGTTTTCCAAACTCCTCAATCAAAAGAAAGGTTTAACTCTGTGAGATGAATGGACACATCACGAAGAAGTTTCTCAGAAAGCTTCTGTCTAGTTTTTCTGTGAAGATATTTCTTTTTCACCATAGGCCTCAAGCAGCTAAGAAATTTCCCTCTGCAGCTTCTACCAAAGACTGTTTCCAAACTGCTCAACTGAAAGAAAGGTTGAATTCTGTGACATGAATTCACACATCACAAAGAGGTTTTTAAGAAATCTTCTGTCTGGTTTTTAGGTGACGATACCTCCTTTTTCACCACGGGCCTCAAATATCTCCAAATATCCATTTGCAGATTCTACAGAAAGACTTTCCAAACTGCTCAATCAAAAGAAGGTTCAACACTGTGAGATGAAGGCACACATCACCAAGAAGTTTCTCAGAAACCTTCTGTCTAGTTTTTAGGTGAAGATACTTCGTATTTCACCACAGGCCATAAAGGGCTCACAAATATCCCTTTGCAGGTTCTACAAAAAGACTGTTTCCAAACGGCTCAATCAAAGGAGAGGTTCAACTCTGTGACGTGAATGGACACATCACAAACAATTTCTTGGAATGCTTCCGTCTAGTTTTTATGGGAAGATATTTCTCTTTCACCATAAGCCTCAAACGGATCAGAATTCTCCCTTTGCAGATTGTACGATAAGCCTCTTTCCAATCTGCTCAATCAAAAGAAAGTTTCCACTCGGTGAGGTGAATGCACACATCGCAAGGGAGTTTCTCAGAAAGCTTCTGTTTAGTTTTTACGTGAAGATATTTCGTTTTTCACCACGGGCCTCAAAAGCTCTCCAAATATCCATTTGCAGATTCTAGAAAAAGAGTGTTTCCAAACTCCTCAATCAAAGGATAGTTTCAATTCTGTGAGATGAAAGCACACATCACAACGAAGTTTCTTAGAAAGCTTCTGTGTAGTTTTTATGTGAAGATACTTCACATTGCATCACAGTACTCAATGGGCTCAGAAATATCCCCTTGCAGATCCTACAAAAGGACTGTTTCAAAACTGCTCAATCCAAAGAAAGTTTCAACTATGTGAGATGAATGCGCACGTCACGAAGACGTTCCTCAGAATGCTTCTGTCTACTTTATATGTGAAGAAGATTCCTATTCCACCATAGGCAATAAAGGGCTCACAAATATGTTTTGCAGATTCTACAAAAAGACTGTACCCAAACTGCTCAATAAAAAGAAAGTTTTAACTCTGTTAGGTTAATGGACACATCAAAAAGTAGTTTCTCAGAAAACTTCTGTGTAGTTTTTATGTGAAGATACTTCCTTTGTCACCATTGGCCTCAAAGCACTCCTAATATCCATTTACAGATGTCACAGAAAGAGTGTTTCCAAACTGCTCCATCAAAAGAAAGTGTTTAACTCTGTGAGGTGAAAGCACACATCTCAAAGAAGTTTCTCCGAAAGCTTCGGTCTAGTTTTCATGTGATGATATTTCCAGTCTCACCATAGGCCTCAAAGGGCTAAGAAATATCCCTTTCCAGATTCTAAAAGACCACCATTTCCATACTTCTCAATCAAAAGAAAGGTTAAATTCTGTGAGGTTAATGCACACATCAGAATGAAGTTTCTCAGAATTCTCCTGTCTAGTTTTCATGTGAAGATATTTACTATTTCACTATAGGCTTCAAATGTCTCAAAAATATCCTTTTGCAGATTCTACAAAAATATGCTTTCCAAAGTGCTGAATTAAAAGAAACCTTCAACTCTGTCAGATGAATGGAGACATCACAAAGAAGTTCCTCAGAATGCTTCTGTCTAGTTTAAATGGGAAGATATTTCTTTTTCACCATAGACCTCAAAGGGCTCAGAATTAGACCTTTGCAGATTGCAGAGAAAGACTGTCTCTAAACTGCTCAAATAAAATAAAGTTTCAACACGGTGAGATGAATGCACACCTCACAAAGAAGTTCCTCAGAAAGCTTCTGTCTGGTTTTTATGTGAAGATATTTCCTTTTTCACCATAGGCCTTACACCGCTCACAAATATCCTTCTGCAGATACTAGAAAAAGACTGTTTCCAAACTGCTCCATCAAAAGAAAATTTCACCTATCTGAGATGAATGCACACATCATAAAGAAGTTCCTCAGAATTCTTCTGTCTAGTTTTTATGTGAAGATGTTTCCATTTTCACCTTAGGCCACAAAGCGCTCCAAACATCCGTTTGCAGATGATACGAAAAGACTGTTTCCAAACTGCTCAGTGAAAAGAAATTTTCAACTCTGTGAGATGAAAGCACACATCACGAAAAAGTTTCTCAGAAATCTTCTATCTCGCTTTTATCTCAAGATGATTCCTATTTTGCCATAGGAAATCAAGGGGCTCACATATATCCCTTTGCAGATTCTACAAATGTTCTCCTTACAAACTTCTCAATCAAGAGCAACGTTCAACATTGTGAGATGAATGAACACATCCCAAAGACGTTTCTCAGGTTGCTTCTGTCTGGTTGCTATGTGAAGATGTTTCCTTTTTCACCATAGTCTTTAAGCCACTCAAAAATATCTGTCTGCAGACTCTACCAAAAGACCGTTTCCAAACTGGCCCATATAGCATGTTTCAACTATGTGAAATGAATGCACTCATCAAAAAGAAGTTTCTCAGGATTCTCCTGTCTAGTTTTTATGTGAAGATATTTCCTTTTTCACCGTAGGCCACAAATTGCTCCAAATATCCATTTGCAGATTCTACAAAAAGAATGTTCCCAAACTGGTCAATCAAAAGAAAGGCGCAACTCTGTGAGACGAAAGCACACATCACAAAGAAGTTTCCCGGAAAGCTTCTGTCTACATTTTATGTGAACGTATTTCCTTTGGCACCATAGGCCTTAAACCGCTCACAAATATAACTCCAATTAAACGACCTAGAGACTTTCTCCAGATTGCTAAATCAAAAGAAAGGTTCAACTCTGTGAGATGAATACACACATCAAAAAGAAGTTTCTCAAAATGCTTCTGTCTAGTTTTCATGGGAAGATATTTATTTTTCACCGTTGGCCCCAAACCGCTCAGAAATATCCCTTTGCAGTTTGTAGGAAAAGACTGCTCCCAAACTGCTCAATGAAAGGAAATGGTCAACTATTAGAGATGAATGGAAATGTCACAAAGAGTTTTCTCGAAAATCTACTGTGTCGTTTTTATGTGAAGACATTGCCTTTTGCACCCTAGGCCTTAAAACTCTCTAAATGCACATTCACAGATTCTACAAAAAGACTGATTCCAAACTGCTCAATCAGAAGAAGGGTTCAATTCCGTGTGACAAACGTGCACATCACCAAGAAATTTGTCAGAAAGCTTCTGTCTACTTTTTATGTGAAGATATTTCATATTTCAACAAAGGCCATAAAGGGCTCACAAATATCCCTTCGCAGATTCTAAGAAAAGACGTTTTCCAAACTCCTCAATCAAAAGAAAGTTTTAACTCTGTGAGATGAATGGACACATCACGAAGAAGTTTCTCAGAAAGCTTCTGTCTAGTTTTTCTGTGACGATATTTCTTTTTCACCATAGGCCTCAAGCAGCTAAGAAATTTCTCTCTGCAGCTTCTACCAAAGACTGTTTCCAAACTGCTCACCTGAAAGAAAGGTTGAATTCTGTGACATGAATTCACACATCACAAAGAGGTTTTTCAGAAATCTTCTGTCTGGTTTTTAGGTGGCGATACTTCCTTTTTCAGCACGGGCCTCAAATATCTCCAAATATCCATTTGCAGATTCTACAGAAAGACTTTCCAAACTGCTCAATCAAAAGAAAGGTTCAACACTGTGAGATGAAGGCACACATCACCAAGAAATTTCTCAGAAACTTTCTGTCTAGTTTTTAGGTGAAGATACTTCGTATTTCACCACAGGCCATAAAGGGCTCACAAATATCCCTTTGCAGGTTCTACAAAAAGACTGTTTCCAAACTGCTCAATCAAAGGAGAGGTTCAACTCTGTGACGTGAATGGACACATCATAAAAAATTTCTTGGAATGCTTCCGTCTAGTTCTTATGGGAAGATATTTCTCTTTCACCATAAGCCTCAAACGGATCAGAATTCTCCCTTTGCAGATTGTACAATAAGCCTCTTTCCAATCTGCTCAATCAAAAGAAAGTTTCCACTCGGTGAGGTGAATGCACACATCGCAAGGGAGTTTCTCAGAAAGCTTCTGTTTAGTTTTTACGTGAAGGTATTTCGTTTTTCACCACGGGCCTCAAAAGCTCTCCAAATATCCATTTGCAGATTCTAGAAAAAGAGTGTTTCCAAACTCCTCAATCAAAGGATAGTTTCAATTCTGTGAGAGGAAAGCAGACATCACAACGAAGTTTCTTAGAAAGCCTCTGTGAAGTTTTTATGTGAAGATACTTCACATTGCATCACAGTACTCAAGGGGCTCAGAAATATCCCCTTGCAGATCCTACAAAAGGACTGTTTCAAAACTGCTCAATCCAAAGAAAGTTTCAACTATGTGAGACGAATGCACACGTCACGAAGAAGTGCCTCAGAATGCTTCTGTCTAGTTTATATGTGAAGAAGATTCCTATTCCACCATAGGCAATAAAGGGCTCACAAATATGTTTTGCAGATTCTACAAAAAGACTGTATCCAAACTGCTCAATAAAAATAAAGTTTTAACTCTGTTTGATTAATGGACACATCGAAAGGTAGTTTCTCAGAAAACTTCTGTGTAGTTTTTATGTGAAGATACTTCCTTTGTCACCATTGGCCTCAAAGCACTCCTAATATCCATTTACAGATGTCACAGAAAGAGTGTTTCCAAACTGCTCAATCAAAAGAAAGTGTTTAACTCTGTGAGGTGAAAGCACACATCTCAAAGAAGTTTCTCCGAAAGCTTCGGTCTAGTTTTCATGTGATGATATTTCCAGTCTCACCATAGGCCTCAAAGGGCTAAGAAATATCCATTTCCAGATTCTAAAAGACCACCATTTCCATACTTCTCAATCAAAGGAAAGGTTAAATTCTGTGAGGTTAATGCACACATCAGAATGAAGTTTCTCAGAATTCTCCTGTCTAGTTTTCATGGGAAGATATTTACTATTTCACTATAGGCTTCAAATGTCTCAAAAATATCCCTTTGCAGATTCTACAAAAATATGCTTTCCAAAGTGCTGAATTAAAAGAAACCTTCAACTCTGTCAGATGAATGGAGACATCACAAAGAAGTTCCTCAGAATGCTTCTGTCTAGTTGAAATGTGAAGACATTTCTTTTTCACCATAGACCTCAAAGGGCTCAGAATTAGACCTTTGCAGATTGCAGAGAAAGACTGTCTCTAAACTGCTCAAATAAAATAAAGTTTCAACACGGTGAGATGAATGCACACCTCACAAAGAAGTTCCTCAGAAAGCTTCTGTCTGGTTTTTATGTGAAGATATTTCCTTTTCCACCATAGGCCTTACACCGCTCACAAATATCCTTTTGCAGATACTAGAAAAAGACGGTTTCCAAACTGCTCCATCAAAAGAAAATTTCACCCATCTGAGATGAATGCACACATCATAAAGAAGTTCCTCAGAATTCTTCTGTCTAGTTTTTATGTGAAGAATGTTTCCATTTTCACCTTAGGCCACAAAGCGTTCCAAACATCCGTTTGCAGATGATACGAAAAGACTGTTTCCAAACTGCTCAATCAAAAGAAATTTTCAACTCTGTGAGATGAAAGCACACATCACAAAAAAGTTTCTCAGAAATCTTCTGTCTCGCTTTTATCTCAAGATAATTCCTATTTTGCCATAGGAATCAGGGGGCTCACATATATCCCTTTGCGGATTCTACAAAAGTTCTCTTTACAAACTTCTCAATCAAAAGAAACGTTCAACATTGGGAGATGAATGAACACATCCCAAAGAAGTTTCTCAGGTTGCTTCTGTCTGGTTGCTATGTGAAGATGTTTCCTTTTTCACCATAGTCTTTAAGCCACTCAAAAATATCTGTCTGCAGACTCTACCAAAAGACTGTTTCCAAACTGGCCCATATAGCATGTTTCAACTATGTGAAATGAATGCACTCATCAAAAAGAAGTTTCTCAGGATTCTCCTGTCTAGTTTTTATGTGAAGATATTTCCTTTTTCACCGTAGGCCACAAATTGCTCCAAATATCCATTTGCAGATTCTACAAAAAGAATGTTCCCAAACTGGTCAATCAAAAGAAAGGCGCAACTCTGTGAGACGAAAGCACACATCACAAAGGAGTTTCTCGGAAAGCTTCTGTCTACATTTTATGTGAACGTATTTCCTTTGGCACCATAGGCCTTAAACCGCTCGCAAATATAACTCCAATTAAACGACCTAGAGACTTTCTCCAGATTGCTAAATCAAAAGAAAGGTTCAACTCTGTGAGATGAATACACACATCAAAAAGAAGTTTCTCAAAATGCTTCTGTCTAGTTTTCATGGGAAGATATTTATTTTTCACCGTTGGCCCCAAACCGCTCAGAAATATCCCTTTGCAGTTTGTAGAAAAAGACTGCTTCCAAACTGCTCAATGAAAGGAAATGGCCAACTATTAGAGATGAATGGAAATGTCACAAAGAGTTTTCTCAAAAAGCTACTGTGTCGTTTTTATGTGAAGACATTGCCTTTGGCACCCTAGGCCTTAAAACTCTCTCAATACACATTCACAGATTCTACAAAAAGACTGATTCCAAACTGCTCAATCAGAAGAAGGGTTCAATTCCGTGTGGCAAACGTGCACATCACCAAGGAATTTGTCAGAAAGCTTCTGTCTACTTTTTATGTGAAGATATTTCATATTTCA
Source organism: Homo sapiens (assembly GCF_000001405.40). NCBI lineage: Eukaryota > Metazoa > Chordata > Mammalia > Primates > Hominidae > Homo > Homo sapiens. The sequence continues at coordinate 13,147,880 of NC_000022.11, read as the reverse complement.
ACAAAGGCCATAAAGGGCTCACAAATATCCCTTCGCAGATTCTAAGAAAAGACGTTTGCCAAACTCCTCAATCAAAAGAAAGGTTTAACACTGTGAGATGAATGGACACATCACGAAGAAGTTTCTCAGAAAGCTTCTGTCTAGTTTTTCTGTGAAGATATTTCTTTTTCACCATAGGCCTCAAGCAGCTAAGAAATTTCCCTCTGCAGCTTCTACCAAAGACTGTTTCCAAACTGCTCAACTGAAAGAAAGGTTGAATTCTGTGACATGAATTCACACATCACAAAGAGGTTTTTCAGAAATCTCCTGTCTGGTTTTTAGGTGAAGATACTTCCTTTTTCACCACGGGCCTCAAATATCTCCAAATATCCATTTGCAGATTCTACAGAAAGACTTTCCAAACTGCTCAATCAAAAGAAAGGTTCAACACTGTGAGATGAAGGCACACATCACCAAGAAGTTTCTCAGAAATCTTCTGTCTAGTTTTTAGGTGAAGATACTTCGTATTTCACCACAGGCCATAAAGGGCTCACAAATATCCCTTTGCAGGTTCTACAAAAAGACTGTTTCCAAACTGATCAATCAAAGGAGAGGTTCAACTCTGTGACGTGAATGGACACATCACAAACAATTTCTTGGAATGCTTCCGTCTAGTTCTTATGGGAAGATATTTCTCTTTCACCATAAGCCTCAAACGGATCAGAATTCTCCCTTTGCAGATTGTACGATAAGCCTCTTTCCAATCTGCTCAATCAAAAGAAAGTTTCCACTCGGTGAGGTGAATGCACACATCGCAAGGGAGTTTCTCACAAAGCTTCTGTTTAGTTTTTACGTGAAGATATTTCGTTTTTCACCACGGGCCTCTAAAGCTCTCCAAATATCCATTTGCAGATTCTAGAAAAAGAGTGTTTCCAAACTCCTCAATCAAAGGATAGTTTCAATTCTGTGAGATGAAAGCACACATCACAACGAAGTTTCTTAGAAAGCTTCTGTGTAGTTTTTATGTGAAGATACTTCACATTGCATCACAGTACTCAATGGGCTCAGAAATATCCCCTTGCAGATCCTACAAAAGGACTGATTCAAAACTGCTCAATCCAAAGAAAGTTTCAACTATGTGAGATGAATGCACACGTCACGAAGACGTTCCTCAGAATGCTTCTGTCTTGTTTACATGTGAAGAAGATTCCTATTTCACCATAGGCAATAAAGGGCTCACAAATATTTTTTGTGAGATTCTCCAAAAATACTGTATCCAAACTGCTCAATAAAAAGAAAGTTTTAACTCTGTTACATTAATGGACACATCAACAAGTAGTTTCTCAGAAAACTTCTGTGTACTTTTTATGTGAAGATACTTCCTTTGTCACCATTGGCCTCAAAGCACTCCTAATATCCATTTACAGATGTCACAGAAAGAGTGTTTCCAAACTGCTCAATCAAAAGAAAGTGTTTAACTCTGTGAGGTGAAAGCACACATCTCAAAGAAGTTTCTCCGAAAGCTTCGGTCTACTTTTCATGTGAAGATATTTCCAGTTTCACCGTAGGCCTCAAAGGGCTAAGAAATATCCCTTTCCAGATTCTAAAAGACGACCGTTTCCATACTTCTCAATCAAAAGAAAGGTTAAATACTCTGAGGTTAATGTCCACGTCAGAATGAAGTTTCTCAGAATTCTCCTGTCTAGTTTTCATGTGAAGATATTTACTATTTCACTATAGGCTTCAAATATCTCAAAAATATCCCTTTGCAGATTCTACAAAAATATGCTTTCCAAAGTGCTGAATTAAAAGAAACCTTCAACTCTGTCAGGTGAATGGAGACATCACGAAGAAGTTCCTCAGAATGCTTCTGTCTAGTTTAAATGTGAAGACATTTCTTTTTCACCATAGACCTCAAAGGGCTCAGAGTTAGACCTTTGCAGATTGCAGAGAAAGACTGTCTCTAAACTGCTCAAATAAAATAAAGTTTCAACACGGTGAGATGAACGCACACATCACAAAGAAGTTCCTCAGAAGGCTTCTGTCTGGTTTTTATGTGAAGATATTTCCTTTTTCACCATAGGCCTTACACCGCTCACGAATATCCTTCTGCAGATACTATAAAAAGACGGTTTCCAAACTGCTCCATCAAAAGAAAATTTCACCTATCTGAGATGAATGCACACATCATAAAGAAGTTCCTCAGAATTCTTCTGTCTAGTTTTTATGTGAAGGTGTTTCCATTTTCACCTTAGGCCACAAAGCGCCCCAAACATCCATTTGCAGATGATACGAAAAGACTGTTTCCAAACTGCTCAATCAAAAGAAATTTTCAACTCTGTGAGATGAAAGCACACATCACAAAAAAGTTTCTCAGAAACCTTCTGTCTCGCTTTTATCTCAAGATAATTCCTATTTTGCCATAGGAATCAAGGGGCTCACATATATCCCTTTGCGGATTCTACAAAAGTTCTCTTTACAAACTTCTCAATCAAAAGAAACGTTCAACATTGGGAGATGAATGAACACATCCCAAAGAAGTTTCTCAGGGTTGCTTCTGTCTGGTTGCTATGTGAAGATGTTTCCTTTTTCACCATAGTCTTTTAGCCACTCAAAAATATCTGTCTGCAGACTCCACAAAAAGACTGTTTCCAAACTGGCCCATATAGCATGTTTCAACGATGTGAAATGAATGCACTCATCAAAAAGAAGGTTCTCAGGATTCTCCTGTCTAGTTTTTATGTGAAGATATTTCCTTTTTCACCGTAGGCCACAAATTGCTCCAAATATCCATTTGCAGATTCTACAAAAAGAATGTTCCCAAACTGGTCAATCAAAAGAAAGGCGCAACTCTGTGAGATGAAAGCACACATCACAAAGAAGTTTCCCGGAAAGCTTCTGTCTACATTTTATGTGAAGGTATTTCCTTTGGCACCATAGGCCTTAAACCGCTCGCAAATATAACTCCACTTATACTACCTAGAGACTTTCTCCAGATTGCTAAATCAAAAGAAAGGTTCAACTCTGTGAGATGAATACACACATCAAAAAGAAGTTCCTCAAAATGCTTCTGTCTAGTTTTCATGGGAAGATATTTATTTTTCACCGTTGGCCCCAAACCGCTCAGAAATATCCCTTTGCAGTTTGTAGAAAAAGACTGCTTCCAAACTGCTCAATGAAAGGAAATGGTCAACTATTAGAGATGAATGGAAATGTCACAAACAGTTTTCTCAAAAAGCTACTGTGTCGTTTTCATGTGAAGACATTGCCTTTGGCACCCTAGGCCTTAAAACTCTCTAAATGCACATTCACAGATTCTACAAAAAGACTGATTCCAAACTGCTCAATCAGAAGAAGGGTTCAATTCCGTGTGACAAACGTGCACATCACCAAGAAATTTGTCAGAAAGCTTCTGTCTACTTTTTATGTGAAGATATTTCATATTTCAACAAAGGCCAAAAAGGGCTCACAAATATCCCTTCGCAGATTCTAAGAAAAGACGTTTTGCAAACTCCTCAATCAAAAGAAAGGTTTAACTCTGTGAGATGAATGGACACATCACGAAGAAGTTTCTCAGAAAGCTTCTGTCTAGTTTTTCTTTGAAGATATTTCTTTTTCACCATAGGCCTCAAGCAGCTAAGAAATTTCCCTCTGCAGCTTCTACCAAAGACTGTTTCCAAACTGCTCACCTGAAAGAAAGGTTGAATTCTGTGACATGAATTCACACATCACAAAGAGGTTTTTCAGAAATCTTCTGTCTGGTTTTTAGGTGACGATACTTCCTTTTTCAGCACGGGCCTCAAATATCTCCAAATATCCATTTGCAGATTCTACAGAGAGACTTTCCAAACTGCTCAATCAAAAGAAAGGTTCAACACTGTGAGATGAAGGCACACATCACCAAGAAGTTTCTCAGAAACCTTCTGTCTAGTTTTTAGGTGAAGATACTTCGTATTTCACCACAGGCCATAAAGGGCTCACAAATATCCCTCTGCAGGTTCTACAAAAAGACTGTTTCCAAACTGATCAATCAAAGGAGAGGTTCAACTCTGTGACGTGAATGGACACATCACAAACAATTTCTTGGAATGCTTCCGTCTAGTTCTTATGGGAAGATATTTCTCTTTCACCATAAGCCTCAAACGGATCAGAATTCTCCCTTTGCAGATTGTACAATAAGCCTCTTTCCAATCTGCTCAATCAAGAGAAAGTTTCCACTCGGTTAGGTGAATGCACACATCACAAGGGAGTTTCTCAGAAAGCTTCTGTTTAGTTTTTACGTGAAGATATTTCGCTTTTCACCACGGGCCTCAAAAGCTCTCCAAATATCCATTTGCAGATTCTAGAAAAAGAGTGTTTCCAAACTCCTCAATCAAAGGATAGTTTCAATTCTGTGAGATGAAAGCACACATCACAACGAAGTTTCTTAGAAAGCGTCTGTCTAGTTTTTATGTGAAGATACTTCACATTGCATCACAGTACTCAATGGGCTCAGAAATATCCCCTTGCAGATCCTACAAAAGGACTGTTTCAAAACTGCTCAATCCAAAGAAAGTTTCAACTATGTGAGATGAATGCACACGTCACGAAGAAGTTCCTCAGAATGCTTCTGTCTTGTTTACATGTGAAGAAGATTCCTATTTCACCATAGGCAATAAAGGGCTCACAAATATTTTTTGCAGATTCTACAAAAAGACTGTATCCAAACTGCTCAATAAAAAGAAAGTTTTAACTCTGTTACATCAATGGACACATCAACAAGTAGTTTCTCAGAAAACTTCTGTGTAGTTTTTATGTGAAGATACTTCCTTTGTCACCATTGGCCTCAAAGCACTCCTAATATCCATTTACAGATGTCACAGAAAGAGTGTTTCCAAACTGCTCAATCAAAAGATAGTGTTTTACTCTGTGAGGTGAAAGCACACATCTCAAAGAAGTTTCTCCGAAAGCTTCGGACTAGTTTTCATGTGATGGTATTTCCAGTCTCACCATAGGCCTCAAAGGGCTAAGAAATATCCCTTTCCAGGTTCTAAAAGACCACCATTTCCATACTTCTCAATCAAAAGAAAGGTTAAATTCTGTGAGGTTAATGCACACATCAGAAGGAAGTTTCTCAGAATTCTCCTGTCTAGTTTCCATGTGAAGATATTTACTATTTCACTATAGGCTTCAAATGTCTCAAAAATATCCCTTTGCAGATTCTACAAAAATATGCTTTCCAAAGTGCTGAATTAAAAGAACCCTTCAACTCTGTCAGATGAATGGAGAGGCATCACAACGAAGATCCTCAGAATGCTTCTGTCTAGTTGAAATGTGAAGACATTTCTTTTTCACCATAGACCTCAAAGGGCTCAGAATTAGACCTTTGCAGATTGCAGAGAAAGACTGTCTCTAAACTGCTCAAATAAAATAAAGTTTCAACACGGTGAGATGAATGCACACATCACAAAGAAGTTCCTCAGAAAGCTTCTGTCTGGTTTTTATGTGAAGATATTTCCTTTTTCACCATAGGCCTTACACCGCTCACAAATATCCTTCTGCAGATACTATAAAAAGACGGTTTCCAAACTGCTCCATCAAAAGAAAATTTCACCTATCTGAGATGAATGCACACATCATAAAGAAGTTCCTCAGAATTCTTCTGTCTAGTTTTTATGTGAAGATGTTTCCATTTTCACCTTAGGCCACAAAGCGCCCCAAACATCCGTTTGCAGATGATACGAAAAGACTGTTTCCAAACTGCTCAATCAAGAGAAATTTTCAACTCTGTGAGATGAAAGCACACATCACAAAAAAGTTTCTCAGAAATCTTCTGTCTCGCTTTTATCTCAAGATAATTCCTATTTTGCCATAGGAAACAAGGGGCTCACATATACCCCTTTGCAGATTCTACAAATGTTCTCCTTACAAACTTCTCAATCAAAAGAAACGTTCAACATTGTGAGATGAATGAACACATCCCAAAGACGTTTCTCAGGTTGCTTCTGTCTGGTTGCTATGTGAAGATGTTTCCTTTTTCACCATAGTCTTTAAGCCACTCAAAAATATCTGTCTGCAGACTCTACAAAAAGACTGTTTCCAAACTGGCCCATATGGCATGTTTCAACTATGTGAAATGAATGCACTCATCAAAAAGAAGTTTCTCAGGAGTCTCCCTGTCTAGTTTTCATGTGAAGATATTTCCTTTTTCACCGAAGGCCACAAATTGCTCCAAATATCCATTTGCAGATTGTACGAAAAGAATGTTCCCAAACTGGTCAATGAAAAGAAAGGCGCAACTCTGTGAGACGAAAGCACACATCACAAAGAAGTTTCTCGGAAAGCTTCTGTCTGCATTTTATGTGAAGGTATTTCCTTTGGCACCATAGGCCTTAAACCGCTCGCAAATATGACTCCACTTATACTACCAAGAGACTTTCTCCAAATTGCTAAATCAAAAGAAAGGTTCAACTCTGTGAGATGAATACACACATCAAAAAGAAGTTTCTCAAAATGCTTCTGTCTAGTTTTCATGGGAAGATGTTTATTTTTCACCGTTGGCCCCAAACCGCTCAGAAATATCCCTTTGCAGTTTGTAGAAAAAGACTGCTTCCAAACTGCTCAATGAAAGGAAATGGCCAACTATTAGAGATGAATGGAAATGTCACAAAGAGTTTTCTCAAAAAGCTACTGTGTCGTTTTTATGTGAAGACATTGCCTTTGGCACCCTAGGCCTTAAAACTCTCTAAATACACATTCACAGATTCTACAAAAAGACTGATTCCAAACTGCTCAATCAGAAGAAGGGTTCAATTCCGTGTGACAAACGTGCACATCACCAAGGAATTTGTCAGAAAGCTTCTGTCTACTTTTTATGTGAAGATATTTCATATTTCAACAAAGGCCATAAAGGGCTCACAAATATCCTTTCGCAGATTCTAAGAAAAGACGTTTTCCAAACTCCTCAATCAAAAGAAAGGTTTAACTCTGTGTGATGAATGGACACATCATGAAGAAGTTTCTCAGAAAGCTTCTGTCTAGTTTTTCTGTGAAGATATTTCTTTTTCACCATAGGCCTCAAGCAGCTAAGAAATTTCCCTCTGCAGCTTCTACCAAAGACTGTTTCCAAACTGCTCAACTGAAAGAAAGGTTGAATTCTGTGACATGAATTCACACATCACAAAGAGGTTTTCCAGAAATCTTCTGTCTGGTTTTTAGGTGACGATACTTCCTTTTTCAGCACGGGCCTCAAATATCTCCAAATATCCATTTGCAGATTCTACAGAAAGACTTTCCAAACTGCTCAATCAAAAGAAAGGTTCAACACTGTGAGATGAAGGCACACATCACCAAGAAGTTTCTCAGAAACCTTCTGTCTAGTTTTTAGGTGAAGATACTTCGTATTTCACCACAGGCCATAAAGGGCTCACAAATATCCCTTTGCAGGTTCTACAAAAAGACTGTTTCCAAACTGCCCAATCAAAGGAGAGGTTCAACTCTGTGACGTGAATGGACACATCACAAAAAATTTCTTAGAATGCTTCCGTCTAGTTCTTATGGGAAGATATTTCTCTTTCACCATAAGCCTCAAACGGATCAGAATTCTCCCTCTGCAGATTGTACGATAAGCCTCTTTCCAATCTGCTCAATCAAAAGAAAGTTTCCACTCGGTGAGGTGAATGCACACATCGCAAGGGAGTTTCTCAGAAAGCTTCTGTTTAGTTTTTACGTGAAGATATTTCGTTTTTCACCACGGGCCTCAAAAGCTCTCCAAATATCCATTTGCAGATTCTAGAAAAAGAGTGTTTCCAATCGCCTCAATCAAAGGATAGCTTCAATTCTGTGCGATGAAAGCACACATCACAACGAAGTTTCTTAGAAAGCATCTGTCTAGTTTTTATGTGAAGATACTTCACATTGCATCACAGTACTCAATGGGCTCAGAAATATCCCCTTGCAGATCCTACAAAAGGACTGTTTCAAAACTGCTCAATCCAAAGAAAGCTTCAACTATGTGACACGAATGCACACGTCATGAAGACCTTCCTCAGAATGCTTCTGTCTTGTTTACATGTGAAGAAGATTCCTATTTCACCATAGGCAATAAAGGGCTCACAAATATTTTTGCAGATTCTACAAAAAGACTGTATCCAAACTGCTCAATAAAAAGAAAGTTTTAACTCTGTTACATCAATGGACACATCAACAAGTAGTTTCTCAGAAAACTTCTGTGTAGTTTTTATGTGAAGATACTTCCTTTGTCACCATTGGCCTCAAAGCACTCCTAATATCCATTTACAGATGTCACAGAAAGAGTGTTTCCAAACTGCTCAATCAAAAGAAAGTGTTTAACTCTGTGAGGTGAAAGCACACATCTCAAAGAAGTTTGTCCGAAAGCTTCGGTCTACTTTTCATGTGAAGATATTTCCAGTTTCACCGTAGGCCTCAAAGGGCTAAGAAATATCCCTTTCCAGATTCTAAAAGACGACCGTTTCCATACTTCTCAATCAAAAGAAAGGTTAAATTCTCTGAGGTTAATGCCCACGTCAGAATGAAGTTTCTCAGAATTCTCCTGTCTAGTTTTCATGGGAAGATATTTACTATTTCACTATAGGCTTCAAAAGTCTAAAAAATATCCCTTTGCAGATTCTACAAAAATATGCTTTCCAAAGTGCTGAATTAGAAGAAACCTTCAACTCTGTCAGATGAATGGAGGCATCACAACGAAGTTCCTCAGAATGCTTCTGTCTAGTTTAAATGTGAAGATATTTCTTTTTCACCATAGACCTCAAAGGGCTCAGAATTAGACCTTTGCAGATTGCAGAGAAAGACTGTCTCTAAACTGCTCAAATAAAATAAAGTTTCAACACGGTGAGATGAATGCACACATCACAAAGAAGTTCCTCAGAAAGCTTCTGTCTGGTTTTAATGTGAAGATATTTCCTTTTTCACCATAGGCCTTACACCGCTCACGAATATCCTTCTGCAGATACTATAAAAAGACTGTTTCCAAACTGCTCCATCAAAAGAAAATTTCACCTATCTGAGATGAATGCACACATCATACAGAAGTTCCTCAGAATTCTTCTGTCTAGTTTTTATGTGAAGATGTTTCCATTTTCACCTTAGGCCACAAAGCGCTCCAAACATCCGTTTGCAGATGATACGAAAAGACTGTTTCCAAACTGCTCAATCAAAAGAAATTTTCAACTCTGTGAGATGAAAGCACACATCACGAAAAGTTTCTCAGAAATCTTCTGTCTCGCTTTTATCTCAAGATGATTCCTATTTTGCCATAGGAATCAAGGGGCTCACATATACCCCTTTGCAGATTCTACAAATGTTCTCCTTACAAACTTCTCAATCAAGAGAAACGTTCAACATTGTGAGATGAATGAACACATCCCAAAGACGTTTCTCAAGTTGCTTCTGTCAGGTTGCTATGTGAAGATGTTTCCTTTTTCACCATAGTCTTTAAGCCACTCAAAAATATCTGTCTGCAGACTCTACCAAAAGACTGTTTCCAAACTGGCCCACATAGCATGTTTCAACTATGTGAAATGAATGCACTCATCAAAAAGAAGTTTCTCAGGATTCTCCGGTCTAGTTTTTATGTGAAGATATTTCCTTTTTCACCGTAGGCCACAAATTGCTCCAAATATCCATTTGCAGATTCTACAAAAAGAATGTTCCCAAACTGGTCAATCAAAAGAAAGGCGCAACCCTGTGAGACGAAAGCACACATCACAAAGGAGTTTCTCGGAAAGCTTCTGTCTACATTTTATGTAAAGGTATTTCCTTTGGCACCATAGGCCTTAAACCGCTCACAAATATGACTCCACTTATACTACCAAGAGACTTTCTCCAAATTGCTAAATCAAAAGAAAGGTTCAACTCTGTGAGATGAATACACACATCAAAAAGAAGTTTCTCAAAATGCTTCTGTCTAGTTTTCATGGGAAGATATTTATTTTTCACCGTTGTCCCCAAACCGCTCCGAAATATCCCTTTGCAGTTTGTAGAAAAAGACTGCTTCCAAACTGCTCAATGAAAGGAAATGGTCAACTATTAGAGATGAATGGAAATGTCACAAAGAGTTTTCTCAAAAAGCTACTGTGTCGTTTTTATGTGAAGACATTGCCTTTGGCACCCTAGGCCTTAAAACTCTCTATATACACATTCACAGATTCTACAAAGAGACTGATTCCAAACTGCTCAATCAGAAGAAGGGTTCAATTCCGTGTGACAAACGTGCACATCACCAAGGAATTTGTCAGAAAGCTTCTGTCTACTTTTTATGTGAAGATATTTCATATTTCAACAAAGGCCATAAAGGGCTCACAAATATCCCTTCGCAGATTCTAAGAAAAGACATTTTCCAAACTCCTCAATCAAAAGAAAGGTTTAACTCTGTGAGATGAATGGACACATCACGAAGAAGTTTCTCAGAAAGCTTCTGTCTAGTTTTTCTGTGAAGATATTTCTTTTTCACCATAGGCCTCAAGCAGCTAAGAAATTTCCCTCTGCAGCTTCTACCAAAGACTGTTTCCAAACTGCTCACCTGAAAGAAAGGTTGAATTCTGTGACATGAATTCACACATCACAAAGAGGTTTTTCAGAAATCTTCTGTCTGGTTTTTAGGTGAAGATACTTCCTTTTTCACCACGGGCCTCAAATATTTCCAAATATCCATTTGCAGATTCTACAGAAAGACTTTGCAAACTGCTCAATCAAAAGAAAGGTTCAACACTGTGAGATGAAGGCACACATCACCAAGAAGGTTCTCAGAAACCTTCTGTCTAGTTTTTAGGTGAAGATACTTCGTATTTCACCACAGGCCATAAAGGGCTCACAAATATCCCTTTGCAGGTTCTACAAAAAGACTGTTTCCAAACTGCTCAATCAAAGGAGAGGTTCAACTCTGTGACGTGAATGGACACATCACAAAAAATTTCTTGGAATGCTTCCGTCTAGTTTTTATGGGAAGATATTTCTCTTTCACCATAAGCCTCAAACGGATCAGAATTCTCCCTTTGCAGGTTGTACGATAAGCCTCTTTCCAATCTGCTCAATCAAAAGAAAGTTTCCACTCGGTGAGGTGAATGCACACATCGCAAGGGAGTTTCTCAGAAAGCTTCTGTTTAGTTTTTACGTGAAGATATTTCGTTTTTCACCACGGGCCTCAAAAGCTCTCCAAATATCCATTTGCAGATTCTAGAAAAAGAGTGTTTCCAAACTCCTCAATCAAACGATAGTTTCAATTCTGTGAGATGAAAGCACACATCACAACGAAGTTTCTTAGAAAGCGTCTGTGTAGTTTTTATGTGAAGATACTTCACATTGCATCACAGTACTCAATGGGCTCAGAAATATCCCCTTGCAGATCCTACAAAAGGACTGTTTCAAAACTGCTCAATCCAAAGAAAGTTTCAACTATGTGAGATGAATGCACACGTCACGAAGACGTTCCTCAGAATGCTTCTGTCTAGTTTATATGTGAAGAAGATTCCTATTTCACCATAGGCAATAAAGGGCTCACAAATATGTTTTGCAGATTCTACAAAAGGACTGTATCCAAACTGCTCAATAAAAAGAAAGTTTTAACTCTTTTAGGTTAATGGACACATCAAAAAGTAGTTTCTCAGAAAACTTCTGTGTAGTTTTTATGTGAAGATATTTCCTTTGTCACCATTGGCCTCAAAGCACTCCTAATATCCATTTACAGATGTCACAGAAAGAGTGTTTCCAAACTGCTCAATCAAAAGAAAGTGATTAACTCTGTGAGGTGAAAGCACACATCTCAAAGAAGTTTCTCCGAAAGCTTCGGACTAGTTTTCATGTGATGATATTTCCAGTCTCACCATAGGCCTCAAAGGGCTAAGAAATATCCCTTTCCAGGTTCTAAAAGACCACCATTTCCATACTTCTCAATCAAAAGAAAGGTTAAATTCTGTGAGGTTAATGCACACATCAGAATGAAGTTTCTCAGAATTCTCCTGTCTAGTTTTCATGGGAAGATATTTACTATTTCACTCTAGGCTTCAAATGTCTCAAAAATATCCCTTTGCAGATTCTACAAAAATATGCTTTCCAAAGTGCTGAATTAAAAGAAACCTTCAACTCTGTCCGATGAATGGAGAGGCATCACAACGAAGTTCCTCAGAATGCTTCTGTCTAGTTTAAATGGGAAGATATTTCTTTTTCACCATAGACCTCAAAGGGCTCAGAATTAGACCTTTGCAGATTGCAGAGAAAGACTGTCTCTAAACTGCTCAAATAAAATAAAGTTTCAACACGGTGAGATGAATGCACACCTCACAAAAAGTTCCTCAGAAAGCTTCTGTCTGTTTTTTATGTGAAGATATTTCCTTTTTCACCATAGGCCTTACACCGCTCACAAATATCCTTCTGCAGATACTAGAAAAAGACTGTTTCCAAACTGCTCCATCAAAAGAAAATTTCACCCATCTGAGATGAATGCACACATCATAAAGAGGTTCCTCAGAATTCTTCTGTCTAGTTTTTATGTGAAGGTGTTTCCATTTTCACCTTAGGCCACAAAGCGCCCCAAACATCCATTTGCAGATGATACGAAAAGACTGTTTCCAAACTGCTCAATCAAAAGAATTTTTCAACTCTGTGAGATGAAAGTACACATCACAAAAAAGTTTCTCAGAAATCTTCTGTCTGGCTTTTATCTCAAGATAATTCCTATTTTGCCATAGGAATCAAGGGGCTCACATATATCCCTTTGCAGATTCTACAAAAGTTATCCTTACAAACTTCTCAATCAAAAGAAACGTTCATCATTGTGAAGTGAATGAACACATCCCAAAGACGTTTCTCAGGTTGCTTCTGTCTGGTTGCTATGTGAAGATGTTTCCTTTTTCACCATAGTCCTTAAGCCCCTCAAAAATATCTGTCTGCAGACTCTACCAAAAGACTGTTTCCAAACTGGCCCATATAGCATGTTTCAACTATGTGAAATGAATGCACTCATCAAAAAGAAGTTTCTCAGGATTCTTCTGTCTAGTTTTTATGTGAAGATATTTCCTTCTTCACCGCAGGCCGCAAATTGCTCCAAATATCCATTTGCGGATTCTACAGAAAGAATGTTTCCAAACTGGTCAATCAACAGAAAGGCTCAACTCTGTGAGACGAAAGCACACATCACAAAGAAGTTTCTCAGAAAGCTTCTGTCTGCATTTTATGTGAAGGTATTTCCTTTGGCACCATAGGCCTTAAACCGCTCGCAAATATAACTCCACTTATACTACCAAGAGACTTTCTCCAAATTGCTAAATCAAAAGAAAGGTTCAACTCTGTAAGATGAATACACACATCAAAAAGAAGTTTCTCAAAATGCTTCTGTCTAGTTTTCATGGGAAGATATTTATTTTTCACCGTTGGCCCCAAACCGCTCAGAAATATCCCTTTGCAGTTTGTAGAAAAAGACTGCTTCCAAACTGCTCAATGTAAGGAAATGGCCAACTATTAGAGATGAATGGAAATGTCACAAAGAGTTTTCTCAAAAAGCCACTGTGTCGTTTTTATGTGAAGACATTGCCTTTTGCACACTAGGCCTTAAAACTCTCTAAATGCACATTCACAGATTCTACAAAAAGACTGATTCCAAACTGCTCAATCAGAAGAAGGGTTCAATTCCGTGTGACAAACGTGCACATCACCAAGAAATTTGTCAGAAAGCTTCTGTCTACTTTTTATGTGAAGATATTTCATATTTCAACAAAGGCCATAAAGGGCTCACAAATATCCCTTCGCAGATTCTAAGAAAAGACGTTTTCCAAACTCCTCACTCAAAAGAAAGGTTTAACACTGTGAGATGAATGGACACATCACGAAGAAGTTTCTCAGAAAGCTTCTGTCTAGTTTTTCTGTGAAGATACTTCTTTTTCACCATAGGCCTCAAGCAGCTAAGAAATTTCCCTCTGCAGCTTCTACCAAAGACTGTTTCCAAACTGCTCAACTGAAAGAAAGGTTGAATTCTGTGACATGAATTCACACATCACAAAGAGGTTTTTCAGAAATCTTCTGTCTGGTTTTTAGGTGACGATACTTCCTTTTTCACCACGGGCCTCAAATATCTCCAAATATCCATTTGCAGATTCTACAGAAAGACTTTCCAAACTGCTCAATCAAAAGAAAGGTTCAACACTGTGAGATGAAGGCACACATCACCAAGAAGTTTCTCAGAAACCTTCTGTCTAGTTTTTAGGTGAAGATACTTCGTATTTCACCACAGGCCATAAAGGGCTCACAAATATCCCTTTGCAGGTTCTACAAAAAGACTGTTTCCAAACTGCTCAATCAAAGGAGAGGTTCAACTCTGTGACGTGAATGGACACATCACAAACAATTTCTTGGAATGCTTCCGTCTAGTTTTTATGGGAAGATATTTCTCTTTCACCATAAGCCTCAAACGGATCAGAATTCTCCCTTTGCAGATTGTACGATAAGCCTCTTTCCAATCTGCTCAATCAAAAGAAAGTTTCCTCTCGGTGAGGTGAATGCACACAACGCAAGGGAGTTTCTCAGAAAGCTTCTGTTTAGTTTTTACGTGAAGATATTTCGTTTTTCACCACGGGCCTCTAAAGCTCTCCAAATATCCATTTGCAGATCCTAGAAAAAGAGTGTTTCCAAACTCCTCAATCAAAGGATAGTTTCAATTCTGTGAGATGAAAGCACACATCACAACGAAGTTTCTTAGAAAGCTTCTGTCCAGTTTTTATGTGAAGATACTTCACATTGCATCACAGTACTCAATGGGCTCAGAAATATCCCCTTGCAGATCCTACAAAAGGACTGTTTCAAAACTGCTCAATCCAAAGAAAGTTTCAACTATGTGAGACGAATGCACACGTCACGAAGAAGTTCCTCAGAATGCTTCTGTCTAGTTTATATGTGAAGAAGATTCCTATTCCACCATAGGCAATAAAGGGCTCACAAATATGTTTTGCAGATTCTACAAAAAGACTGTATCCAAACTGCTCAATAAAAAGAAAGTTTTAACTCTGTTAGGTTAATGGACACATCAAAAAGTAGTTTCTCAGAAAACTTCTGTGTAGTTTTTCTGTGAAGATACTTCCTTTGTCACCATTGGCCTCAAAGCACTCCTAATATCCATTTACAGATGTCACAGAAAGAGTGTTTCCAAACTGCTCCATCAAAAGAAAGTGTTTAACTCTGTGAGGTGAAAGCACACATCTCAAAGGAGTTTCTCCGAAAGCTTCGGTCTAGTTTTCATGTGATGATATTTCCAGTCTCACCATAGGCCTCAAAGGGGTAAGAAATATCCCTTTCCAGATTCTAAAAGACCACCATTTCCATACTTCTCAATCAAAAGAAAGGTTACATTCTGTGAGGTTAATGCACACATCAGAATGAAGTTTCTCAGAATTCTCCTGTCTAGTTTTCATGTGAAGATATTTACTATTTCACTATAGGCTTCAAATGTCTCAAAAATATCCCTTTGCAGATTCTACAAAAATATGCTTTCCAAAGTGCTGAATTAAAAGAAACCTTCAACTCTGTCAGATGAATGGAGGCATCACAACGAAGTTCCTCAGAATGCTTCTGTCTAGTTTAAATGTGAAGACATTTCTTTTTCACCATAGACCTCAAAGGGCTCAGAATTAGACCTTTGCAGATTGCAGAGAAAGACTGTCTCTAAACTGCTCAAATAAAATAAAGTTTCAACACGGTGAGATAAATGCACACCTCACAAAGAAGTTCCTCAGAAAGCTTCTGTCTGGTTTTTATGTGAAGATATTTCCTTTTTCACCATAGGCCTTACACCGCTCACAAATATCCTTCTGCAGATACTAGAAAAAGACTGTTTCCAAACTGCTCCATCAAAAGAAAATTTCACCCATCTGAGATGAATGCACACATCATAAAGAAGTTCCTCAGAATTCTTCTGTCTAGTTTTTATGTGAAGATGTTTCCATTTTCACCTTAGGCCACAAAGCGCCCCAAACATCCGTTTGCAGATGATACGAAGAGACTGTTTCCAAACTGCTCAATCAAGAGAAATTTTCAACTCTGTGAGATGAAAGCACACATCACAAAAAAGTTTCTCAGAAATCTTCTGTCTCGCTTTTATCTCAAGATGATTCCTATTTTGCCATAGGAATCAAGGGGCTCACATATACCCCTTTGCAGATTCTACAAATGTTCTCCTTACAAACTTCTCAATCAAGAGAAACGTTCAACATTGTGAGATGAATGAACACATCCCAAAGACGTTTCTCAGGTTGCTTCTGTCTGGTTGCTATGTGAAGATGTTTCCTTTTTCACCATGGTCTTTAAGCCACTCAAAAATACCTGTCTGCGGACTCTACAGTAAGACTGATTCCAAACTGGCCCATATAGCATGTTTCAACTATGTGAAATGAATGCACTCATCAAAAAGAAGTTTCTCAGGATTCTCCTGTCTAGTTTTTATGTGAAGATATTTCCTTTTTCACCGTAGGCCACAAATTGCTCCAAATATCCATTTGCAGATTCTACAAAAAGAATGTTCCCAAACTGGTCAATCAAAAGAAAGGCGCAACTCTGTGAGACGAAAGCACACATCACAAAGAAAGTTTCTCGGAAAGCCTCTGTCTACATTTTATGTGAAGGTATTTCCTTTGGCACCATAGGCCTTAAACCGCTCGCAAATATAACTCCACTTATACTACCTAGAGACTTTCTCCAGATTGCTAAATCAAAAGAAAGGTTCAACTCTGTGAGATGAATACACACATCAAAAAGAAGTTTCTCAAAATGCTTCTGTCTAGTTTTCATGGGAAGATATTTATTTTTCACCGTTGGCCCCAAACCGCTCAGAAATATCCCTTTGCAGTTTGTAGAAAAAGACTGCTTCCAAACTGCTCAATGAAAGGAAATGGTCAACTATCAGAGATGAATGGAAATGTCGCAGAGAGTTTTCTCAAAAAGCTACTGTGTCGTTTTTATGTGAAGACATTGCCTTTGGCACCCTAGGCCTTAAAACTCTCTAAATACACATTCACAGATTCTACAAAAAGACTGATTCCAAACTGCTCAATCAGAAGAAGGGTTCAATTCCGTGTGGCAAACGTGCACATCACCAAGGAATTTGTCAGAAAGCTTCTGTCTACTTTTTATGTGAAGATATTTCATATTTCAACAAAGGCCATAAAGGACTCACAAATATCCCTTCGCAGATTCTAAGAAAAGACGTTTTCCAAACTCCTCAACCAAAAGAAAGGTTTAACTCTGTGAGATGAATGGACACATCACGAAGAAGTTTCTCAGAAAGCTTCTGTCTAGTTTTTCTGTGAAGATATTTCTTTTCCACAATAGGCCTCAAGCAGCTAAAAAATTTCCCTCTGCAGCTTCTACCAAAGACTGTTTCCAAACTGCTCACCTGAAAGAAAGGTTGAATTCTGTGACATGAATTCACACATCACAAAGAGGTTTTTCAGAAATCTTCTGTCTGTTTTTTAGGTGAAGATACTTCCTTTTTCACCACGGGCCTCAAATATCTCCAAATATCCATTTGCAGATTCTACAGAAAGACGTTGCAAACTGCTCAATCAAAAGAAAGGTTTAACACTGTGAGATGAAGGCACCCATCACCAAGAAGTTTCTCAGAAACCTTCTGTCTAGTTTTTAGGTGAAGATACTTCGTATTTCACCACAGGCCATAAAGGGCTCACAAATATCCCTTTGCAGGTTCTACAAAAAGACTGTTTCCAAACTGCTCAATCAAAGGAGAGGTTCAACTCTGTGACGTGAATGGACACATCATAAAAAATTACTTGGAATGCTTCCGTCTAGTTTTTATGGGAAGATATTTCTCTTTCACCATAAGCCTCAAACGGATCAGAATTCTCCCTTTGCAGATTGTACGATAAGCCTCTTTCCAATCTGCTCAATCAAAAGAAAGTTTCCACTGGGTGAGGTGAATGCACACATCGCAAGGGAGTTTCTCAGAAAGCTTCTGTTTAGTTTTTACGTGAAGATATTTCGTTTTTCACCACTGGCCTCAAAAGCTCTCCAAATATCCATTTGCAGATTCTAGAAAAAGAGTGTTTCCAAACTCCTCAATCAAAGCATAGTTTCAATTCTGTGAGATGAAAGCACACATCACAACGAAGTTTCTTAGAAAGCGTCTGTCTAGTTTTTATGTGAAGATACTTCACATTGCATCACAGTACTCAATGGGCTCAGAAATATCCCCTTGCAGATCCTAGAAAAGGACTGTTTCAAAACTGCTCAATCCAAAGAAAGCTTCAACTATGTGACACGAATGCACACGTCACGAAGACCTTCCTCAGAATGCTTCTGTCTAGTTTATATGTGAAGAAGATTCCTATTTCACCATAGGCAATAAAGGGCTCACAAATATGTTTTGCAGATTCTACAAAAGGACTGTATCCAAACTGCTCAATAAAAAGAAAGTTTTAACTCTGTTAGGTTAATGGACACATCAAAAAGTAGTTTCTCAGAAAACTTCTGTGTAGTTTTTATGTGAAGATACTTCCTTTGTCACCATTGGCCTCAAAGCACTCCTAATATCCATTTACAGATGTCACAGAAAGAGTGTTTCCAAACTGCTCAATTAAAAGAAAGTGTTTAACTCTGTGAGGTGAAAGCACACATCTCAAAGAAGTTTCTCCGAAAGCTTCGGTCTAGTTTTCATGTGATGATATTTCCAGTCTCACCATAGGCCTCAAAGGGCTAAGAAATATCTCTTTCCAGATTCTAAAAGACCACCATTTCCATACTTCTCAATCAAAAGAAAGGTTACATTCTGTGAGGTTAATGCACATATCAGAATGAAGTTTCTCAGAATTCTCCTGTCTAGTTTTCATGTGAAGATATTTACTATTTCACTATAGGCTTCAAATGTCTCAAAAATATCCCTTTGCAGATTCTACAAAAATATGCTTTCCAAAGTGCTGAATTAAAAGAAACCTTCAACTCTCTCAGATGAATGGAGACATCACAAAGAAGTTCCTCAGAATGCTTCTGTCTAGTTTAAATGTGAAGACATTTCTTTTTCACCATAGACCTCAAAGGGCTCAGAGTTAGACCTTTGCAGATTGCAGAGAAAGACTGTCTCTAAACTGCTCAAATAACATAAAGTTTCAACACGGTGAGATGAATGCACACATCACAAAGAAGTTCCTCAGAAAGCTTCTGTCTGGTTTTAATGTGAAGATATTTCCTTTTTCACCATAGGCCTTACACCGCTCACGAATATCCTTCTGCAGATACTATAAAAAGACTGTTTCCAAACTGCTCCATCAAAAGAAAATTTCACCTATACTGAGATGAATGCACACATCATACAGAAGTTCCTCAGAATTCTTCTGTCTAGTTTTTATGTGAAGATATTTCCATTTTCACCTTAGGCCACAAAGTGCTCCAAATATCCATTTGCAGATTATACAAAAAGACTGTTTCCAAACTGCTCAATCAAAAGAAATTTTCAACTCTGTGAGATGAAAGCACACATCACAAAGAAGTTTGCTCAGAAATCTTCTGTCTCGCTTTTATCTCAAGATAATTCCTATTTTGCCATAGGAATCAAGGGGCTCACATATATCCCTTTGCAGATTCTACAAAAGTTCTCCTTAAAAACTTCTCAATCAAAAGAAACGTTCAACATTGTGAGATGAATGAACACATCCCAAAGACGTTTCTCAGGTTGCTTCTGTCTGGTTGCTATGTGAAGATGTTTCCTTTTTCACCATAGTCTTTAAGCCACTCTAAAATACCTGTCTGCAGACTCTACAAAAAGACTGTTTCCAAACTGGCCCATATAGCATGTTTCAACTATGTGAAATGAATGCACTCATCAAAAAGGAGTTCCTCAGGATTCTCCTGTCTAGTTTTTATGTGAAGATATTTCCTTTTTCACTGTAGGCCACAAATTGCTCCAAATATCCATTTGCAGATTCTACAAAAAGAATGTTCCCAAACTGGTCAATCAAAAGAAAGGCGCAACTCTGTGAGACGAAAGCACACATCACAAAGAAGTTTCCCGGAAAGCTTCTGTCTACATTTTATGTGAAGGTATTTCCTTTGGCACCATAGGACTTAAACCGCTCGCAAACATAACTCCACTTATACTACCTAGAGACATTCTCCAGATTGCTAAATCAAAAGAAAGGTTCAACTCTGTGAGATGAATACACACATCAAAAAGAAGTTTCTCAAAATGCTTCTCTGTCTAGTTTTCATGGGAAGATATTTATTTTTCACCGTTGGCCCCAAACCGCTCCGAAATATCCCTTTGCAGTTTGTAGAAAAAGACTGCTTCCAAACTGCTCAATGAAAGGAAATGGTCAACTATTAGAGATGAATGGAAATGTCACAAAGAGTTTTCTCAAAAAGCTACTGTGTCGTTTTTATGTGAAGACATTGCCTTTGGCACCCTAGGCCTTAAAACTCTCTCAATACACATTCACAGATTCTACAAAAAGACTGATTCCAAACTGCTCAATCAGAAGAAGGGTTCAATTCCGTGTGACAAACGTGCACATCACCAAGGAATTTGTCAGAAAGCTTCTGTCTACTTTTTATGTGAAGATATTTCATATTTCAACAAAGGCCATAAAGGGCTCACAAATATCCCTTTGCAGATTCTAAGGAAAGACATTTTCCAAACTCCTCAATCAAAAGAAAGGTTTCACTCTGTGTGATGAATGGACACATCACAAAGAAGTTTCTCAGAAAGCTTCTGTCTAGTTTTTCTGTGAAGATATTTCTTTTTCACCATAGGCCTCAAGCAGCTAAGAAATTTCCCTCTGCAGCTTCTACCAAAGACTGTTTCCAAACTGCTCAACTGAAAGAAAGGTTGAATTCTGTGACATAAATTCACACATCACAAAGAGGTTTTTCAGAAATCTTCTGTCTGGTTTTTAGGTGAAGATACTTCCTTTTTCACCACGGGCCTCAAATATCTCCAAATATCCATTTGCAGATTCTACAGAAAGACTTTGCAAACTGCTCAATCAAAAGAAGGGTTCAACACTGTGAGATGAAGGCACACATCACCAAGAAGTTTCTCAGAAACCTTCTGTCTAGTTTTTAGGTGAAGATACTTCGTATTTCACCACAGGCCATAAAGGGCTCACAAATATCCCTCTGCAGGTTCTACAAAAAGACTGTTCCCAAACTGCCCAATCAAAGGAGAGGTTCAACTCTGTGACGTAAATGGACACATCACAAAAAATTTCTTGGAATGCTTCCGTCTAGTTCTTATGGGAAGATATTTCTCTTTCACCATAAGCCTCAAACGGATCAGAATTCTCCCTTTGCAGATTGTACGATAAGCCTCTTTCCAATCTGCTCAATCAAAAGAAAGTTTCCACTCGGTGAGGTGAATGCACACATCGCAAGGGAGTTTCTCAGAAAGCTTCTGTTTAGTTTTTACGTGAAGATATTTCGTTTTTCACCACTGGCCTCAAAAGCTCTCCAAATATCCATTTGCAGATTCTAGAAAAAGAGTGTTTCCAAACTCCTCAATCAAAGGATAGTTTCAATTCTGTGAGATGAAAGCACACATCACAACGAAGTTTCTTAGAAAGCTTCTGTGAAGTTTTTATGTGAAGATACTTCACATTGCATCACAGTACACAAGGGGCTCAGAAATATCCCCTTGCAGATCCTACAAAAGGACTGTTTCAAAACTGCTCAATCCAAAGAAAGTTTCAACTATGTGAGACGAATGCACACGTCACGAAGAAGTGCCTCAGAATGCTTCTGTCTAGTTTATATGTGAAGAAGATTCCTATTCCACCATAGGCAATAAAGGGCTCACAAATATGTTTTGCAGATTCTACAAAAAGACTGTACCCAAACTGCTCAATAAAAAGAAAGTTTTAACTCTGTTAGGTTAATGGACACATCAAAAAGTAGTTTCTCAAGAAAACTTCTGTTTAGTTTTTATGTGAGGATATTTCCTTTGTCACCATTGGCCTCAAAGCACTCCTAATATCCATTTACAGATATCACAAAAAGAGTGTTTCCAAACTGCTCAATCAAAAGAAAGTTTTAACTCTGTGAGATGAAAGCACACATCTCAAAGAACTTTCTCAGAAAGCTTTGGTCTAGTTTTCATGTGAAGATATTTCCAGTTTCACCATAGGCCTCAAAGGGCTAAGAAATATCCCTTTCCAAATTCTAAAAGACGAACATTTCCATACTGCTCAATCAAAAGAAAGGTTAAATTCTGTGAGGTGAATGCACACATCAGAATGAAGTTTCTCAGAATTCTCCCTGTCTAGTTTCTATGTGAAGATATTTACTATTTCACTATAGGCTTCAAAGGTCTCAAAAATATCCCTTTGCAGATTCTACAAAAATATGGTTTCCACAGTGCTGAATTAAAAGAAACCTTCAACTCTGTCAGATGAATGGGGACATCACAAAGAAGTTCCTCGGAATGCTTCTGTCTAGTTGAAATGTGAAGACATTTCTTTTTCACCATAGACCTCAAAGGGCTCAGAGTTGGACCTTGGCAGATTGCAGAGAAAGACTGTCTCTAAACTGCTCAAATAACATAAAGTTTCAACACGGTGAGATGAATGCACACATCACAAAGAAGTTCCTCAGAAAGCTTCTGTCTGGTTTTTATGTGAAGATATTTCCTTTTTCACCATAGGCCTTACACCGCTCACAAATATCCTTCTGCAGATACTATAAAAAGACTGTTTCCAAACTGCTCCATCAAAAGAAAATTTCACCTATCTGAGATGAATGCACACATCATACAGAAGTTCCTCAGAATTCTTCTGTCTAGTTTTTATGTGAAGATGTTTCCATTTTCACCTTAGGCCACAAAGCGCCCCAAACATCCGTTTGCAGATGATACGAAGAGACTGTTTCCAAACTGCTCAATCAAGAGAAATTTTCAACTCTGTGAGATGAAAGCACACATCACTAAAAAGTTTCTCAGAAATCTTCTGTCTCGCTTTTATCTCAAGATGATTCCTATTTTGCCATAGGAATCAAGGGGCTCACATATACCCCTTTGCAGATTCTACAAATGTTCTCCTTACAAACTTCTCAATCAAGAGAAACGTTCAACATTGTGAGATGAATGAACACATCCCAAAGACATTTCTCAAGTTGCTTCTGTCTGGTTGCTATGTGAAGATGTTTCCTTTTTCACCATAGCCTTTAAGCCACTCAAAAATATCTGTCTGCAGACTCTACAAAAAGACTCTTTCCAAACTGGCCCATATGGCATGTTTCAACTATGTGAAACGAATGCACTCATCAAAAAGTAGTTTTTCAGGAGTCTCCTGTCTAGTTTTTATGTGAAGATATTTCCTTTTTCACCGTAGGCCACAAATTGCTCCAAATATCCATTTGCAGATTCTACAAAAAGAATGTTCCCAAACTGGTCAATCAACAGAAAGGCGCAACTCTGTGAGACGAAAGCACACATCACAAAGAAGTTTCTCGGAAAGCCTCTGTCTACATTTTATGTGAAGGTATTTCCTTTGGCACCATAGGCCTTAAACCGCTCGCAAATATGACTCCACTTATACTACCAAGAGACTTTCTCCAAATTGCTAAATCAAAAGAAAGTTTCAACCCTGTGAGATGAATACACACATCAAAAAGAAGTTTCTCAAAATGCTTCCGTCTAGTTTTCATGGGAAGATATTTATTTTTCACCGTTGGCCCCAAACCGCTCAGAAATATCCCTTTGCAGTTTGTAGAAAAAGACTGCTTCCAAACTGCTCAATGTAAGGAAATGGCCAACTATTAGAGATGAATGGAAATGTCACAAAGAGTTTTCTCAAAAAGCTACTGTGTCGTTTTTATGTGAAGACATTGCCTTTGGCACCCTAGGCCTTAAAACTCTCTCAGTACACATTCACAGATTCTACAAAAGGACTGATTCCAAACTGCTCAATCAGAAGAAGGGTTCAATTCCGTGTGGCAAACGTGCACATCACCAAGGAATTTGTCAGAAAGCTTCTGTCTAGTTTTTATGTGAAGATATTTCATATTTCAACATAGGCCATAAAGGGCTCACAAATATCCCTTTGTAGATTCTAAGAAAAGACATTTTCCAAACTCCTCAATCAAAAGAAAGGTTTAACTCTGTGAGATGAATGGACACATCACAAAGAAGTTTCTTAGAAAGCTTCTGTCTAGTTTTTCTGTGAAGATATTTCTTTTTCACCATAGGCCTCAAGCAGCTAAGAAATTGCCCTCTGCAGCTTCTACCAAAGACTGTTTCCAAACTGCTCAACTGAAAGAAAGGTTGAATTCTGTGACATGAATTCACACATCACAAAGAGGTTTTTCAGAAATCTTCTGTCTGGTTTTTAGGTGACGATACTTCCTTTTTCACCACGGGCCTCAAATATCTCCAAATATCCATTTGCAGATTCTACAGAAAGACTTTCCAAACTGCTCAATCAAAAGAAAGGTTCAACACGGTAAGATGAAGGCACACATCACCAAGAAGTTTCTCAGAAACCTTCTGTCTAGTTTTTAGGTGAAGATACTTTGTATTTCACCACAGGCCTTAAAGGGCTCACAAATATCCCTCTGCAGGTTCTACAAAAAGACTGTTTCCAAACTGATCAATCAAAGGAGAGGTTCAACTCTGTGACGTGAATGGACACATCACAAACAATTTCTTGGAATGCTTCCGTCTAGTTCTTATGGGAAGATATTTCTCTTTCACCAGAAGCCTCAAACGGATCAGAATTCTCCCTTTGCAGATTGTACAATAAGCCTCTTTCCAATCTGCTCAATCAAAAGAAAGTTTCCACTCGGTGAGGTGAATGCACACATCGCAAGGGAGTTTCTCAGGAAGCTTCTGTTTAGTTTTTACGTGAAGATATTTCGTTTTTCACCACGGGCCTCAAAAGCTCTCCAAATATCCATTTGCAGATTCTAGAAAAAGAGTGTTTCCAAACTCCTCAATCAAAGGATAGTTTCAATTCTGTGAGATGAAAGCACACATCACAACGAAGTTTCTTAGAAAGCGTCTGTCTAGTTTTTATGTGAAGATACTTCACATTGCATCACAGTACTCAATGGGCTCAGAAATATCCCCTTGCAGATCCTACAAAAGGACTGTTTCAGAACTGCTCAATCCAAAGAAAGCTTCAACTATGTGAGACGAATGCACACGTCACGAAGAAGTTCCTCAGAATGCTTCTGTCTAGTTTATATGTGAAGAAGATTCCTATTTCACCATAGGCAATAAAGGGCTCACAAATATGTTTTGCAGATTGTACAAAAGGACTGTATCCAAACTGCTCAATAAAAAGAAGGTTTTAACTCTGTTAGGTTAATGGACATATCAAAAAGTAGTTTCTCAGAAAACTTCTGTTTAGTTTTTATGTGAAGATATTTCCTTTGTCACCATTGGCCTCAAAGCACTCCTAATATCCATTTACAGATTTCACAAAAAGAGTGTTTCCAAACAGCTCAATCAAAAGAAAGTGTTTAACTCTGTGAGGTGAAAGCACACATCTCCAAGAAGTTTCTCAGAAAGCTTCGGACTAGTTTTCATGTGATGATATTTCCAGTCTCACCATAGGCCTCAAAGGGCTAAGAAATATCCCTTTCCAGGTTCTAAAAGACCACCATTTCCATACTTCTCAATCAAAAGAAACGTTAAATTCTGTGAGGTTAATGCACACATCAGAATGAAGTTTCTCAGAATTCTCCTGTCTAGTTTCTATGTGAAGATATTTACTATTTCACTATAGGCTTCAAAGGTCTCAAAAATATCCCTTTGCAGATTCTACAAAAATATGGTTTCCACAGTGCTGAATTAAAAGAAACCTTCAAATCTGTCAGATGAATAGAGACATCACAAAGAAGTTCCTCGGAATGCTTCTGTCTAGTTTAAATGTGAAGATATTTCTCTTTCACCACAGACCTCAAATGGCTCAGAAATATGCCTTTGCAGATTGCAGAAATAGACTGTCTCTAAACTGCTCAAATAAAATAAAGTTTCAACACTGTGAGATGAATGCACACATCACAAAGAAGTTTCTCAGAAAGCTTCTGTCTGGTTTTTATGTGAAGATATTTCCTTTTTCACCATAGGCCTTACACCGCTCACAAGTATCCTTCTGCAGATACTATAAAAAGACGGTTTCCAAACTGCTCCATCAAAAGAAAATTTCACCTATCTGAGATGAATGCACACATCATAAAGAAGTTCCTCAGAATTCTTCTGTCTAGTTTTTATGTGAAGGTGTTTCCATTTTCACCTTAGGCCACAAAGCGCCCCAAACATCCATTTGCAGATGATACGAAAAGACTGTTTCCAAACTGCTCAATCAAAAGAAATTTTCAACTCTGTGAGATGAAAGCACACATCACAAAAAAGTTTCTCAGAAATCTTCTGTCTCGCTTTTATCTCAAGATAATTCCTATTTTGCCATAAGAATCAAGGGGCTCACATATACCCCTTTGCAGATGCTACAAAAGTTCTCCTTACAAACTTCTCAATCAAAAGAAACGTTCAACATTGTGAGATGAATGAACACATCCCAAACACGTTTCTCAGGTTGCTTCTGTCTGGTTGCTATGTGAAGATGTTTCCTTTTTCACCATAGTCTTTAAGCCACTCAAAAATATCTGTCTGCAGACTCTACCAAAAGACTGTTTCCAAACTGGCCCACATAGCATGTTTCAACTATGTGAAATGAATGCACTCATCAAAAAGAAGTTTCTCAGGATTCTCCTGTCTAGTTTTTATGTGAAGATATTTCCTTTTTCACCATAGGCCACAAATTGCTCCAAATATCCATTTGCAGATTCTACAAAAAGAATGTTCCCAAACTGGTCAATCAAAAGAAAGGCGCAACTCTGTGAGACGAAAGCACACATCACAAAGAAGTTTCTCGGAAAGCCTCTGTCTACATTTTATGTGAAGGTATTTCCTTTGGCACCATAGGCCTTAAACCGCTCGCAAATATAACTCCACTTATACTACCAAGAGACTTTCTCCAAATTGCTAAATCAAAAGAAAGGTTCAACTCTGTGAGATGAATACACACATCAAAAGAAGTTTCTCAAAATGCTTCTGTCTAGTTTTCATGGGAAGATATTTATTTTTCACCATTGGCCCCAAACCGCTCAGAAATATCCCTTTGCAGTTTGTAGAAAAAGACTGCTTCCAAGCTGCTGAATGAAAGGAAATGGTCAACTATTAGAGATGAATGGAAATGTCGCAAAGAGTTTTCTCGAAAAGCTACTGTGTCGTTTTTATGTGAAGACATTGCCTTTTGCACCCTAGGCCTTAAAACTCCCTAAATACACATTCACAGATTCTACAAAAAGACTGATTCCAAACTGCTCAATCAGAATAAGGGTTCAATTCCGTGTGACAAACTTGCACATCACAAAGAAATTTGTCAGAAAGCTTCTGTCTACTTTTTATGTGAAGATATTTCATATTTCAACAAAGGCCTTAAAGGGCTCACAAATATCCCTTCGCAGATTCTAAGAAAAGACGTTTTCCAAACTCCTCACTCAAAAGAAAGGTTTAACACTGTGAGATGAATGGACACATCACGAAGAAGTTTCTCAGAAAGCTTCTGTCTAGTTTTTATGTGAAGATATTTCTTTTTCACTATAGGACTCAAACGGCTAAGAAATTTCCCTTTGCAGCTTCTACAAAATACTGTTTCCAAACTGCTCAATCGAAAGAAAGGTTGAATTCTGTGACATGAATTTACACAACACAAAGAAGTTTCTCAGAAATCTTCTGTCTAGTTTTTATGTGAAGATACTTTCTTTTTCACCATGGGCCTCAAATAGTTCCAAATATCCATTTGCAGATTCGACAAACAGACTTTCCAAACTGCTCAATCAAAAGAAAGGTTCAACACTGTGAGATGAAAGCACACATCAGAAAGAATTTTCTCAGAAATCTTCTGTCTACTTTTTATGTGAAGATATTTCATATTTCAACAAAGGCCATAAAGGGCTCACAAATATCCCTTCGCAGATTCTAAGAAAAGACGTTTGCCAAACTCCTCAATCAAAAGAAAGGTTTAACTCTGTGAGATGAATGGACACATCATGAAGAAGTTTCTCAGAAAGCTTCCGTCTAGTTCTCATGGGAAGATATTTCTCTTTCACCATAAGCCTCAAACGGATCAGAATTCTCCCTTTGCAGATTGTACGATAAGCCTCTTTCCAATCTGCTCAATCAAAAGAAAGTTTCCACTCGCTGAGGTGAATGCACACATCGCAAGGGAGTTTCTCAGAAAGCTTCTGTTTAGTTTTTACGTGAAGATATTTCGTTGTTCACCACGGGCCTGAAAAGCTCTCCAAATATCCCTTTGCAGATTCTAGAAAAAGAGTGTTTCCAAACTCCTCCATCAAAGGATAGTTTCAATTCTGTGAGATGAAAGCACACATCACAACGAAGTTTCTTAGAAAGCGTCTGTGTAGTTTTTATGTGAAGATACTTCACATTGCATCACAGTACTCAATGGGCTCAGAAATATCCCCTTGCAGATCCCACAAAAGGACTGTTTCAAAACTGCTCAATCCAAAGAAAGTTTCAACTATGTGAGATGAATGCACACGTCACGAAGACGTTCCTCAGAATGCTTCTGTCTAGTTTATATGTGAAGAAAATTCCTATTTCACCATAGGCAATAAAGGGCTCACAAATATTTTTGGCAGATTCTACAAAAATACTATATCCAAACTGTTAAATAAAAAGAAAGTTTCAACTCTGTTAGATTAATGGACACATCAAAAAGTAGTTTCTCAGAAAACTTCTGTTTAGTTTTTACATGAAGATATATCCTTTGTCACCATTGGCCTCAAAGTGCTCCTAATATCCATTTACAGATTTCACAAAAAGAGTGTTTCTAAACTGCTCAATCAAAAGAAAGTTTTAACTCTGTGAGATGAAAGCACACATTTCAAAGAAATTTCTCAGAAAGCTTCGGTCTAGTTTTCATGTGAAGATATTTCCAGTTTCACCATAGGCCTCAAAGGGCTAAGAAATATCCCTTTGCAGATTCTAAAAGAGGACCATTTCCATACTGCTCAATCAAAATAAAGGTTAAATTCTGTGAGGTGAATGCACACATTAGAATGAAGTTTCTCAGAATTCTCCTGTCTAGTTTTCATGTGAAGATATTTACTATTTCACTATAGGCTTCAAATGTCTCAAAAATATCCCTTTGCAGATTCTACAAAAATATGCTTTCCAAAGTGCTGAATTAAAAGAAACCTTCAACTCTGTCAGATGAATGGAGACATCACAAAGAAGTTCCTCAGAATGCTTCTGTCTAGTTTAAATGTGAAGACATTTCTTTTTCACCATAGACCTTAAAGGGCTCAGAGTTAGACCTTTGCAGATTGCAGAGAAAGACTGTCTCTAAACTGCTCAAATAACTTAAAGTTTCAACACGGTGAGATGAATGCACACATCACAAAGAAGTTCCTCAGAAAGCTTCTGTCTGGTTTTTATGTGAAGATATTTCCTTTTTCACCATAGGCCTTACACCGCTCACAAATATCCTTCTGCAGATACTAGAAAAAGACTGTTTCCAAACTGCTCCATCAAAAGAAAATTTCACCCATGTGAGATGAATGCACACATCATAAAGAAGTTCCTCAGAATTCTTCTGTCTAGTTTTTATGTGAAGATGTTTCCATTTTCACCTTAGGCCACAAAGCGCTCCAAACATCCGTTTGCAGATGATACGAAAAGACTGTTTCCAAACTGCTCAATCAAAAGAAATTTTCAACTCTGTGAGATGAAAGCACACATCACAAAAAAGTTTCTCAGAAATCTTCTGTCTCGCTTTTATCTCAAGATGATTCCTATTTTGCCATAGGAATCAAGGGGCTCACATATACCCCTTTGCAGATTCTACAAATGTTCTCCTTACAAACTTCTCAATCAAGAGAAACGTTCAACATTGTGAGATGAATGAACACATCCCAAAGACATTTCTCAGGTTGCTTCTGTCTGGTTGCTATGTGAAGATGTTTCCTTTTTCACCATAGTCTCTAAGCCCCTCAAAAATATCTGTCTGCAGACTCTACCAAAAGACTGTTTCCAAACTGGCCCATATAGCATGTTTCAACTATGTGAAATGAATGCACTCATCAAAAAGAAGTTTCTCAGGATTCTCCTGTCTAGTTTTCATGTGAAGATATTTCCTTTTTCACCGTAGGCCACAAATTGCTCCAAATATCCATTTGCAGATTCTACAAAAAGAATGTTCCCAAACTGGTCAATCAAAAGAAAGGCGCAACTCTGTGAGACGAAAGCACACATCACAAAGAAGTTTCTCGGAAAGCCTCTGTCTGCATTTTATGTGAAGGTATTTCCTTTGGCACCATAGGCCTTAAACCGCTCGCAAATATAACTCCACTTATACTACCAAGAGACTTTCTCCAAATTGCTAAATCTAAAGAAAGGTTCAACTCTGTGAGATGAATACACACATCAAAAAGAAGTTTCTCAAAATGCTTCTGTCTAGTTTTCATGGGAAGATATTTATTTTTCACCGTTGGCCCCAAACCGCTCAGAAATATCCCTTTGCAGTTTGTAGAAAAAGACTGCTTCCAAACTGCTCAATGAAAGGAAATGGCCAACTATTAGAGATGAATGGAAATGTCACAAAGAGTTTCCTCAAAAAGCTACTGTGTCGTTTTTATGTGAAGACATTGCCTTTTGCACCCTAGGCCTTAAAACTCTCTAAATACACATTCACAGATTCTACAAAAAGACTGAATCCAAACTGCTCAATCAGAAGAAGGGTTCAATTCCGTGTGACAAACGTGCACATCACCAAGAAATTTGTCAGAAAGCTTCTGTCTACTTTTTATGTGAAGATATTTCATATTGCAACAAAGGCCATAAAGGGCTCACAAATATCCCTTCGCAGATTCTAAGAAAAGACGTTTTCCAAACTCCTCAATCAAAAGAAAGGTTTAACTCTGTGAGATGAATGGACACATCACGAAGAAGTTTCTCAGAAAGCTTCTGTCTAGTTTTTCTGTGAAGATATTTCTTTTTCACCATAGGCCTCAAGCAGCTAAGAAATTTCCCTCTGCAGCTTCTACCAAAGACTGTTTCCAAAATGCTCAACTGAAAGAAAGGTTGAATTCTGTGACATGAATTCACACATCACAAAGAGGTTTTTCAGAAATCTTCTGTCTGGTTTTTAGGTGAAGATACTTCCTTTTTCACCACGGGCCTCAAATATCTCCAAATATCCATTTGCAGATTCTACAGAAAGACTTTGCAAACTGCTCAATGAAAAGAAAGGTTCAACACTGTGAGATGAAGGCACACATCACCAAGAAGTTTCTCAGAAACCTTCTGTCTAGTTTTTAGGTGAAGATACTTCGTATTTCACCACAGGCCTTAAAGGGCTCACAAATATCCCTCTGCAGGTTCTACAAAAAGACTGTTTCCAAACTGATCAATCAAAGGAGAGGTTCAACTCTGTGACGTGAATGGACACATCACAAACAATTTCTTGGAATGCTTCCGTCTAGTTCTTATGGGAAGATATTTCTCTTTCACCAGAAGCCTCAAACGGATCAGAATTCTCCCTTTGCAGATTGTACAATAAGCCTCTTTCCAATCTGCTCAATCAAAAGAAAGTTTCCACTCGGTGAGGTGAATGCACACACTTCGCAAGGGAGTTTCTCAGGAAGCTTCTGTTTAGTTTTTACGTGAAGATATTTCGTTTTTCACCACGGACCTCAAAAGCTCTCCAAATATCCATTTGCAGACTCTAGAAAAAGAGTGTTTCCAAACTCCTCAATCAAAGGATAGTTTCAATTCTGTGAGACGAAAGCACACATCACAACGAAGTTTCTTAGAAAGCGTCTGTCTAGTTTTTATGTGAAGATACTTCACATTGCATCACAGTACTCAATGGGCTCAGAAATATCCCCTTGCAGATCCTACAGAAGGACTGTTTCAAAACTGCTCAATCCAAAGAAAGCTTCAACTATGTGAGACGAATGCACACGTCACGACGACCTTCCTCAGAATGCTTCTGTCTAGTTTATATGTGAAGAAGATTCCTATTCCACCATAGGCAATAAAGGGCTCACAAATATGTTTTGCAGATTCTACAAAAAGACTGTACCCAAACTGCTCAATAAAAAGAAAGTTTTAACTCTGTTAGGTTAATGGACACATCAAAAAGTAGTTTCTCAGAAAACTTCTGTGTACTTTTTATGTGAAGATACTTCCTTTGTCACCATTGGCCTCAAAGCACTCCTAATATCCATTTACAGATGTCACAGAAAGAGTGTTTCCAAACTGCTCAATCAAAAGAAAGTGTTTAACTCTGTGAGGTGAAAGCACACATCTCAAAGAAGTTTGTCCGAAAGCTTCGGTCTAGTTTTCATGTGATGATATTTCCAGTCTCACCATAGGCCTCAAAGGGCTAAGAAATATCCCTTTCCAGATTCTAAAAGACCACCATTTCCATACTTCTCAATCAAAAGAAAGGTTAAATTCTGTGAGGTTAATGCACACATCAGAATGAAGTTTCTCAGAACTCTCCTGTCTAGTTTTCATGTGAAGATATTTACTATTTCACTATAGGCTTCAAATGTCTCAAAAATATCCCTTTGCAGATTCTACAAAAATATGCCTTCCAAAGTGCTGAATTAAAAGAAACCTTCAACTCTGTCAGATGAATGGAGACATCACAAAGAAGTTCCTCAGAATGCTTCTGTCTAGTTTAAATGTGAAGATATTTCTTTTTCACCATAGACCTCAAAGGGCTCAGAATTAGACCTTTGCAGATTGCAGAGAAAGACTGTCTCTAAACTGCTCAAATAAAATAAAGTTTCAACACGGTGAGATGAATGCACACATCACAAAGAAGTTCCTCAGAAAGCTTTCTGTCTGGTTTTAATATGAAGATATTTCCTTTTTCACCATAGGCCTTACACCGCTCACGAATATCCTTCTGCAGATACTATAAAAAGACTGTTTCCAAACTGCTCCATCAAAAGAAAATTTCACCTATCTGAGATGAATGCACACATCATACAGAAGTTCCTCAGAATTCTTCTGTCTAGTTTTTATGTGAAGATGTTTCCATTTTCACCTTAGGCCACAAAGCGCTCCAAACATCCGTTTGCAGATGATACGAAAGGACTGTTTCCAAACTGCTCAATCAAAAGAAATTTTCAACTCTGTGAGATGAGAGCACACATCACAAAAAAGTTTCTCAGAAATCTTCTGTCTCGCTTTTATCTCAAGATAATTCCTATTTTGCCATAGGAATCAAGGGGCTCACACATATCCCTTTGCGGATTCTACAAAAGTTCTCTTTACAAACTTCTCAATCAAAAGAAACGTTCAACATTGTGAGATGAATGAACACATCCCAAAGAAGTTTCTCAGGTTGCTTCTGTCTGGTTGCTATGTGAAGATGTTTCCTTTTTCACCGTGGTCTTTAAGCCACTCAAACATACCTGTCTGCAGACTCTACAAAAAGACTGTTTCCAAACTGGCCCATATAGCATGTTTCAACTATGTGAAATGAATGCACTCATCAAAAAGAAGTTTCTCAGGATTCTCCTGTCTAGTTTTTATGTGAAGATATTTCCTTTTTCCCCGTAGGCCACAAATTGCTCCAAATATCCATTTGCAGATTCTACAAAAAGAATGTTCCCAAACTGGTCAATCAACAGAAAGGCGCAACTGTGTGAGACGAAAGCACACATCACAAAGAAGTTTCTCGGAAAGCCTCTGTCTGCATTTTATGTGAAGGTATTTCCTTTGGCACCGTAGGACTTAAACCGCTCGCAAATATAACTCCACTTATACTACCAAGAGACTTTCTCCAAATTGCTAAATCTAAAGAAAGGTTCAACTCTGTGAGATGAATACACACATCAAAAAGAAGTTTCTCAAAATGCTTCTGTCTAGTTTTCATGGGAAGATATTTATTTTTCACCGTTGGCCCCAAACCGCTCAGAAATATCCCTTTGCAGTTTGTAGAAAAAGACTGCTTCCAAACTGCTCAATGAAAGGAAACGGCCAACTATTAGAGATGAATGGAAATGTCACTAAGAGTTTTCTCAAAAAGCTACTGTGTCGTTTTTATGTGAAGACATTGCCTTTGGCACCCTAGGCCTTAAAACTCTCTCAATACACATTCACAGATTCTACAAAAAGACTGATTCCAAACTGCTCAATCAGAAGAAGGGTTCAATTCCGTGTGACAAACGTGCACATCACCAAGGAAATTTGTCAGAAAGCTTCTGTCTACTTTTTATGTGAAGATATTTCATATTTCAACAAAGGCCATAAAGGGCTCACAAATATCCCTTCGCAGATTCTAAGAAAAGACGTTTTCCAAACTCCTCAACCAAAAGAAAGGTTTAACTCTGTGAGATGAATGGACACATCACGAAGAAGTTTCTCAGAAAGCTTCTGTCTACTTTTTATGTGAGGCTATTTCTTGTTCACCATAGGCCTCAAGCAGCTAAGAAATTTCCCTCTGCAGCTTCCACAAAAGACTGGTTCCAAACTGCTCAACTGAAAGGAAGGTTGAATTCTGTGACATGAATTCACACATCACAAAGAGGTTTTTCAGAAATCTCCTGTCTGGTTTTTAGGTGAAGATACTTCCTTTTTCACCACGGGCCTCAAATATCTCCAAATATCCATTTGCAGATTCTACAGAAAGACTTTCCAAACTGCTCCATCAAAAGAAAGGTTCAACACTGTGAGATGAAGGCACACATCACCAAGAAGTTTCTCAGAAACCTTCTGTCTAGTTTTTAGGTGAAGATACTTCGTATTTCACCACAGGCCATAAAGGGCTCACAAATATCCCTCTGCAGGTTCTACAAAAAGACTGTTCCCAAACTGCCCAATAGAAGGAGAGGTTCAACTCTGTGACGTAAACGGACACATCACAAAAAATTTCTTGGAATCCTTCCGTCTAGTTTTGATGGGAAGATATTTCTCTTTCACCATAAGCCTCAAACGGATCAGAATTCTCCCTTTGCAGGTTGTACGATAAGCCTCTTTCCAATCTGCTCAATCAAAAGAAAGTTTCCACTCGGTGAGGTGAATGCACACATCGCAAGGGAGTTTCTCAGAAAGCTTCTGTTTAGTTTTTACGTGAAGATATTTCGTTTTTCACCACGGGCCTCAAAAGCTCTCCAAATATCCATTTGCAGATTCTAGAAAAAGAGTGTTTCCAAACTCCTCAATCAAAGGATAGCTTCAATTCTGTGCGATGAAAGCACACATCACAACGAAGTTTCTTAGAAAGCGTCTGTCTAGTTTTTATGTGAAGATACTTCACATTGCATCACAGTACTCAATGGGCTCAGAAATATCCCCTTGCAGATCCTACAAAAGGACTGTTTCAAAACTGCTCAATCCAAAGAAAGTTTCAACTATGTGAGACGAATGCACACGTCACGAAGACGTTCCTCAGAAAGCTTCTGTCTAGTTTACATGTGAAGAAGATTCCTATTTCACCATAGGCAATAAAGGGCTCACAAATGTTTTTTGCAGATTCTCCGAAAACACTGTATCCAAACTGCTCAATAAAAAGAAAGTTTTAACTCTGTTCGATTAGTGGACACATCAAAAAGTAGTTTCTCAGAAAACTTCTGTGTAGTTTTTATGTGAAGATACTTCCTTTGTCACCATTGGCCTCAAAGCACTCCTAATATCCATTTACAGATGTCACAGAAAGAGTGTTTCCAAACTGCTCCATCAAAAGAAAGTGTTTAACTCTGTGAGGTGAAAGCACACATCTCAAAGAAGTTTCTCCGAAAGCTTTCGGTCTACTTTTCATGTGAAGATATTTCCAGTTTCACCGTAGGCCTCAAAGGGCTAAGAAATATCCCTTTCCAGATTCTAAAAGACGACCGTTTCCATACTTCTCAATCAAAAGGAAGGTTAAATTCTCTGAGGTTAATGCCCACGTCAGAATGAAGTTTCTCAGAATTCTCCTGTCTAGTTTTCATGGGAAGATATTTACTATTTCACTATAGGCTTCAAAAGTCTAAAAAATATCCCTTTGCAGATTCTACAAAAATATGCCTTCCAAAGTGCTGAATTAGAAGAAAGCTTCAACTCTGTCAGATGAATGGAGGCATCACAACGAAGTTCCTCAGAATGCTTCTGTCTAGTTTAAATGTGAAGACATTTCTTTTTCACCATAGACCTCAAAGGGCTCAGAGTTAGACCTTTGCAGATTGCAGAGAAACACTGTCTCTAAACTGCTCAAATAAAATAAAGTTTCAACACGGTGAGATGAACGCACACATCACAAAGAAGTTCCTCAGAAGGCTTCTGTCTGGTTTTTATGTGAAGATATTTCCTTTTTCACCATAGGCCTTACACCGCTCACAAATATCCTTCTGCAGATACTAGAAAAAGACTGTTTCCAAACTGCTCCATCAAAAGAAAATTTCACCCATCTGAGATGAATGCACACATCATAAAGAGGTTCCTCAGAATTCTTCTGTCTAGTTTTTATGTGAAGATGTTTCCATTTTCACCTTAGGCCACAAAGCGCTCCAAACATCCGTTTGCAGATGATACGAAAAGACTGTTTCCAAACTACTCAATCAAAAGAAATTTTCAACTCTGTGAGATGAAAGCACACATCACAAAAAAGTTTCTCAGAAATCTTCTGTCTCGCTTTTATCTCAAGATAATTCCTATTTTGCCATAGGAATCAAGGGACTCACACATATCTCTTTGCGGATTCTACAAAAGTTCTCTTTACAAACTTCTCAATCAAAAGAAACGTTCAACATTGTGAGATGAATGAACACATCCCAAAGAAGTTTCTCAGGTTGCTTCTGTCTGGTTGCTATGTGAAGATGTTTCCTTTTTCACCATAGTCTTTAAGCCACTCAAAAATATCTGTCTGCAGACTCTACCAAAAGACTGTTTCCAAACTGGCCCCTATGGCATGTTTCAACTATGTGAAATGAATGCACTCATCAAAAAGAAGTTTCTCAGGAGTCTGCCTGTCTAGTTTTTCTGTGAAGATATTTCCTTTTTCACCGTAGGCCACAAATTGCTCCAAATATCCATTTGCAGATTCTACAAAAAGAATGTTCCCAAACTGGTCAATCAAAAGAAAGGCACAACTCTGTGAGACGAAAGCACACATCACAAAGAAGTTTCTCGGAAAGCCTCTGTCTGCATTTTATGTGAAGGTATTTCCTTTGGCACCATAGGCCTTAAACCGCTCGCAAATATAACTCCACTTATACTACCAAGAGACTTTCTCCAAATTGCTAAATCTAAAGAAAGGTTCAAATCTGTGAGATGAATACACACATCAAAAAGAAGTTTCTCAAAATGCTTCTGTCTAGTTTTCATGGGAAGATATTTATTTTTCACCGTTGGCCCCAAACCGCTCAGAAATATCCCTTTGCAGGTTGTAGAAAAAGACTGCTTCCAAACTGCTCAATGAAAGGAAACGGCCAACTATTAGAGATGAATGGAAATGTCACAAAGAGTTTTCTCAAAATGCTACTGTGTCGTTTTTATGTGAAGACATTGCCTCTTGCACCCTAGGCCTTAAAACTCTCTAAATACACATTCACAGATTCTACAAAAAGACTGATTCCAAACTGCTCAATCAGAAGAAGGGTTCAATTCCGTGTGACAAACGTGCACATCACCAAGAAATTTGTCAGAAAGCTTCTGTCTACTTTTTACGTGAAGATATTTCATATTTCAACAAAGGCCATAAAGGGCTCACAAATATCCCTTTGCAGATTCTAAGAAAAGACCTTTTCCAAACTCCTCAATCAAAAGAAAGGTTTCACTCTGTGCGATGAATGGACACATCACAAAGAAGTTTCTCAGAAAGCTTCTGTCTAGTTTTTCTGTGAAGATATTTCTTTTTCACCATAGGCCTGAAGCAGCTAAGAAATTTCCCTCTGCATCTTCTACCAAAGACTGTTTCCAAACTGCTCAAGTGAAAGAAAGGTTGAATTCTGTGACATGAATTCACACATAACAAAGAGGTTTTTCAGAAATCTTTCTGTCTGGTTTTTAGGTGAAGATACTTCCTTTTTCACCACGGGCCTCAAATATCTCCAAATATCCATTTACAGATTCTACAGAAAGACTTTGCAAACTGCTCAATCAAAAGAAAGGTTCAACACTGTGAGATGAAGGCACACATCACCAAGAAGTTTCTCAGAAACCTTCTGTCTAGTTTTTAGGTGAAGATACTTCGTATTTCACTACAGGCCATAAAGGGCTCACAAATATCCCTCTGCAGGTTCTACAAAAAGACTGTTTCCAAACTGCCCAATCAAAGGAGAGGTTCAACTCTGTGACGTAAATGGACACATCACAAAAAATTTCTTGGAATGCT